>NC_000015.10:86441278-86592793 GCF_000001405.40 Homo sapiens
GTCCGAATCTTACTTTTTTTAAAAAAAATATTGACCTAGTGTTTTTCCTTTGGAACCAAAATCTTCAACATCTCGTGCTATGGAAAACAAAAAAAATTCTTCAGCGGCTCTCTCCAATTCCTGCTCAAACAAAATGTACCACCTTTTAAGCAGTGAAGAGCACACATAGTGGACTGCTTTTAATGACTCATTCTGTTTAATAAATGACTTTGAGAACCATCGAAGACGGTGTGAGAGTAGGGGTGCCAATGACATAGATATGCTTCTAGGAGAATATCCAGGTATCCGTAAAGGCAGACCCATGCCAAGGCCTTACCATTATTCCTAAAAGGACTAAATGACTAAATAACAGTGTGTGTACTTGGACAGGGGGCATTGTATCCCCGTTATTGGAAGAGGTTGGGTAGCTTCCCTTCTCCAGAATCTAACCATAGCTGTTGTCCAACCAAAGGGTCCATTACCAGAGATGAATGTAATAATAATGGAGTTGGCAGCAGGAGTTAAGCCAGAATCTTCTGTCTGCATTGATCACAGGGAAGAGACAAGTCCAGCAGAGATGCTAGCCCAGCAGCCTGGTGTCCATTCCACCTCTCAGGTGCTGGGCTGAGATCCGTTCTTGAACAGGGAAGGATCAGAAGAACTTAAGGAAAGTTAAGGTCATGCTTGAAAGACCTCTGTGTATCAAAGGGAAAGCTGCCAAATCCACAAGGGTGGGGTAGATGGTAACACAACTGATGAAATTTGGAACTTTACGAGCCCAATACCCTCAGGAACTGAGAAGGGAGCTAAGAGTCAAGATAGAAGCAAAGCATGGTTCGAGACAACTGTTTGCAAGGAGCCGGGAGGCTGTGCCTTGTCACTGGGTACCAGCTATGTGGTGTGTGGTATTCAGCTAGGTTTAAAGGCATATGGTCAGGTCAGAAAAAGAAAACAAAAATCCCTGGCTTTGAATCTGAGGAGCAGGCTGAGAGTGAAGGAGATATTTCCCCCATCTCTTAATATTCTCAGGGCTACAGTATAATGGAATGAGCCTGAGCCTCTGAATCAGACAGAGCTGGTTTCAGGTTCTGGTTTCATTCCCTGTTACCTGTGTCAAGCTCGCCATTTTCTTTTCTGGCCTAGATGCCTCTTCCTCATTTGTAAGTGAATATAATCATATTTACCTCACAAAGGTTTTCAAAATTTCATTGGGAATGTCAACCCCGGAGCCTGAGTCAAAGTATATTTTTAATCTTGCCATTAATAACGATAACAGTCCTAATAAAAGATCATTTTAGATCTGTCATTGTTGGTAAGCCGCTTTCTCTTCCTTCATTCAATCCACCATTGTGGCTCAAGGAAATGGCTGGAATGAATTAACTTTGGGAAAGAACTAGATATAATAGTGGGAGAATCAGTGCTGGAGAGAGAAGTAAAAAGCCACCTCTTATAGCTCTGGTGGATTATGGGAAGCAAAAGAACAACAGCAAGAAAAGCAAGGGCTTCGTCATAGGCATCCTGGCCTCCATTCTCAGGGCTGAAGTGTTTTGGGGAAAATGTGTTAGAGAAAGGTGAAGAGGAAGCAGAGGAGACAGATGTGACTGTCTCTAGAACTCTGGAAGAAAAAGCAGAGAGATGCGATTGCTGTGTAGAAGGGTTTCTCCTCCCACCCCCTGCTCCTGCCCGCAAGGCAAGGTGGCTGCAAGGAAGTAAAAGTGATGGGGGCAGGATCGTGGGTGTTACTGCTATTCTGTCTGGATCTCCTGTACCAGCCTGTGCATCTCTCCCCGGATACTGTATTGTCTGACAAGGAGAAACTGTTGTTCTCTTCTGTTGTTGCCCTCAGCTAGACAGAAGTCACTGAGCCGGAGAAACCTAGTGGCTCTCTCTCCACTCAGCCCCTGTGGCCCTTCTGCAATGACCATCTGCCGCAGGGCACCAGGGATCTCCAGATGGGACTCATGGCTGCTGGGGGTACAGTTTGTGCTCTTAGTTTCCCTGTGTGATCAGATGGATGGGAATCTCCTATTGAGATAACATTCTTTTCTTTTTTCCACTTTTGTTACTTTTAATTGATGCACAATAATTTCACATACTTACGGGGTATGTGATATTTTGATACATGTATACAATGTGTAATGATGAAATCAGGGTATTAGCATATCTATCACTTCAAATATTTATCATTTCTTTGTGTTGGAAACATTCAAAATTCAAGCTATTTAAAAACATACAATAAATTATCGTTAATTATAGTCACCCTACAGTGCTACAGAACACCAGAATTTATTCCTCCTATCTAATTGTATTTTGTGTTTATTAACAAACCTCTCACCATTCCCCCTTTGCCCTTACCCTTCCCAGCCTCCGGTAACTGCTATTCTACTCTCTCTTTCTATGAGATCAACATTTTTAGCTTCCATGTATGAAAGAAAACATAGTATTTCTTTTTTTGTGCTTGCCCTATTTTACCAAACATAGTGTCCTCCAAACTCACCTGTGTTGCCATGAATGACAAGATTTCACTCTTTTTATGACTGAATAGTATTCCATTGCATATATATAGGCCACATTTTCTTTATCCATCCATTCATTGATAGACACTTGGGTTGACTCCTCTATATCTTAGCTATTGTGACTAGTGCTGCAATAAACATAAGGGTGCAGGTATCACTTTGATATGCTGATTTTCTTTCCTTTGGGTAAATACTTTGTAGTAGGATTGCTGGATCATATGATAGATTTGTTTTTAGTTTATGGCGGAATATCAGTACTGTTTTCCATAAAGGTGGTGCTAATTCACATTCCCACCAACAGTGTACCAGCATTCCCCTTTCTCCACAACCTTGCCAGCACTTGATATCTTTTGTCTTTTTGATAATAGCCATTCTAACTGGGGTAAGATGATATCTCACTGTTTTGATTTGCATTTCCCTGATGATTAGCATTGTTGAGCATTTCTTTTTGATATATCTGTTGGAGAACACAATCTCACTGGCTTTATTCTCCCCTCTTGCTGGGTTTCCTCATTCCGCTTTTCTTCAAAGAATATCCCGCCCCAATAAGTCACTTGGATAGGAATTCTTACTCTAGTGTTCAGGGAGAAGAAGAGCTGGGGTTAGCCCTACCTGGATTCACTCAGCTATTGCATGATGGGAAAGGACCTGAAAGTTTTCACATGACTCTCAGAAGTGGAGAGTTCCTGGAAATCTAGCTGGAGAGCTTGCCCAAAGGGTTCACTACAGGGTAGTGTGAGCCTAGGGCCAAAAGCTATCTGGGGGCAGGCCAACCTGCCTAAGACCTGAGTGGGAGTTCCAGGTACTAAGAACCAAGGTGGTTCTTAGGATTCTTGGGAGCATTGTCCATGCAGCAAAAGCAGAGCTATGAATAACAGCAAGAAAACCAGCAGAAACATCCAGCAGCAGAAAGGGAGAGCGTGCTGGGAGTCAGCACCAGGGCCAGCACCTCACACCTAAAAGCCAGCCCAGCCCTTTGCAGTCAAAAGACCGGCACAAGACAAGGGGCCACCCACTCCCCATGCCTTCACAGTCCCATGACAACCACATTCCATCTTGGGAAAAAGGAAGGAGGGGAGAAAATTTAATTGAAAGTTAAATTGTGAGTTCACTTAATTTGGTTTCCCACAAAGTTGTTTTAACTCCAAAGACAATTTTAACAAAAAAATAAATTGAGATACATTAGATTGCAAATTTAAGATTTTAATTATCTGGTGGGGTGGGTGCTTATATATAAAAAGGTGGAAACCACGTTGTCTTTGCCTGTCTGAGTTGGGGTGTGAAAAAAATCTGTATTATTACCGTGTGCATCTTCCTATCTGCTTCACATGGGAATGGATGTGGCTTACATTAAAGGCCTCAGACAGGGGTCAAGAACAATCACACTGGCACTCAGCTTGACTTGAAGCCCATCACCCTGGGGGAGAGCAGCCCACTGGCAAGCTGACAGGAGTAGCAAGTCAGCCATGAGGATTTGGAGAGAAAGAAATCCATAAAGTGTGTGAATGTGCGATAGCCTTTGGTGCTTACAAAGATATGACTTTTTGCTATAGCGATGCTTCTGGGATGAATGGATTATAACAGGAAATACCTCAAAACCCTTTTGCTTCAGCCAAAGCAGGAGCAGCCCTCAGTGAAGGCTTGGTCAGGGGAACTTCCCTTGCAGTTGATGTGGTCAACTCTCTTCCCTATGGGGACATAGTGGGGCATTCCCATGTCAGTCTGAATTTATAGAATTTCACCACTGAGCACTCCTTGTTGTTAAGTATGGCAGATGCCCTGCTCCATAGAAAATAAACAAGTGCCTGCTAGCGAGTGTGGTAATAGAGTGCAGCCTGCATTTCCTGCCTTCCACTCTAGACCTACCTTCCCTTTTTCTTCCAACCTGAAGCACAATTCTGTGGATGATTTTTCCCTCCACCTGACCTCAGATGAGTTCATTCATCCATTTATCAGGCACAAGAGCCAGTTGAAACAAATAAATGAAGTGGAAAGGAAAGGGAGCTTGGTGTCCCAAACCCCTCCACTGAGCTGTGACTCAGGAATTACAGCACGTTGTATTAAATCATTTCTTTGTGATGCATTGGGGCCGTGTAAAAGTCGACAGTGACATATGGGAAAGGCCCTGTTAGCAGGATTGGGGCTGTTGTGTGATAAATGACACAATATGTCAAAGAACATCTGTTATCCATCATGTCGGCTTCCTCAGAACACTTGAGATGGAGAGAGAGGGAGGAAGAATGAAGAAGGGAGAGAGACTGGTAGACAGTGGCTGAGAGGTGGGTAAATGGAAAGGAAGCAAGACTATACACAGCTGGGAGAAGATAGGAAAATGACCTGCTCACCATAAGAGAGCCGACATGATTCAAGAGGATGAGCTAAAGTGAGTCCCTCCAGCAACCTGCCACTCTCCTGTCCCTCACATCTCTCTTCCCTTTATGTTTTCATGTTTTTTGGTTGTTTGTCTAAGTTTAATCAGTTGAGCATATTAAACCTTCATGCCAGCAGGTGAGGAATGGGAGCTGGCTGCACAGTTGTTCTGTTCTTTTCCCTCTCCAGACGCACTGCTCTGGTGTTGCATAGGATCTCTTCTGAGCCAGAGAAGCTCAAGGGAGCATTCTGCAACTTCATTGGCATAGCAAGCTGTATTAGAATTGCTCAAGTGAATGCTCTGAAGCCAGTGTTTGAGAGCAGGTTTTGTGCCAGCAGGGAACTTGGATTTCTTAGCACTTCATCCTTCTAACATTCCTGTCACACTTATGCAAATGCCTGCAAAGTTTCTGATTATTTTATTTCATCAGAAGAAACTTCCATTTATATCGAATCTCTCTTTGTGATATTATATCTGTGACTCTTTCAGGATGGGGCCAGGGTACCCAGGAGGATAGATTTCGACTCCCCTTAAAGATGCAACTGCTCATCATGCCATCTAAGAGAATAAATCTGTGTTAGTAACTCTGAAAGATCAGAATCAGACATCCCTGCAGCTCATATGCTTTTATTTTAGATGAGGTTACAGGCAGAAATGCAATTTTGAAAATAATTACACTGTTATATTTACAGAGTTAGTTTCCTTGGTACTCATATTTCTTTCTAAGCATTATTTTATATCCTTTAAATGTATATCTGGATTGTTGTTCTGTGTTACAGAAGCAAATAAAGGAAGAGACAGAAGCAAGATGCTTTGATCCAACAGTCTGGATTACCTGAGTGGGTTTTATAAAATGCAGATCGTATACTTTAGAACAAGATTCTGATTCAGAAGTTTTGATATAGGGCCCATAAATCTGAATTTTTTGTTTATCTGGTGATTCTGATGATCAATGTAGTGAAGTTATTGGTTTCAGCCTAAAAATTAATTTTACTCTTTTCCTGCCACCAGTACCCAAATTTCCTTCTGTGTATTTAATTTCCGCCTCTTCTCCACCATGTGGTTATTTTTAAAAGATAGATCCACATTTGTACCATTCAGGCCAATGGTAGAGAGTAAATCCTAAAACCTAGAGCTACTGCAAATGACTCTTTTCCTCTGAAGACAGTGGATAAAGATGTGTGAGCCGCGGAATTGTAGTGGACATTTTGTTTGCTATAGCCAGGGAAAGCCTGAAGCTGTTGGGCACTGCCATGTGTAGCCTGAGAATGAAGCTGACACCGTGGAAAGCAGAGAGGAGAGATGGAAAGAAACTGGATCCTTGATGTATCAATTGAGCTTCTTGATCAGGCTTGTCTGACTTGAAATCTATGTCTAGGTATTTCAGCAACATCAGTCAAAGTGTTTAAGTCAAGATGAGGTGTGTTTTAAATCACTCAAAACCAAAAAAGTGCCACCTGATACAAATAGCCACACTGAGGAAACCTTGCTCTAAGTCTCATCCCAAATAGGTAGGGAATCCAAAATAAGCATGAACCAGACACTAGATTCTAATAATACTTACTGAGTATCTGGTAGGGCCAAGCACTATTTAAGGCCAGCGCGGAATATCTGGAGTTGAGAAGGCCAGTTCTTTGAGATTTTCTGAATACAAAGAGAGGACAGTATACCTTGTAAAAGAACTAATAATATAAGGCAACACAAAAGGATCAAAACAGGGCCGGGTGCAGTGGCTCATGCCTATAATCCCAGCACTTTGAGAAGCTGAGGTGGGAGGATTGCTTGAGCTCAGGAATTTGAGATCGACATGGGCAACATAACGAGACCTCGACTCTACAAAAAATACAAAAACTAGCCGGGGGTGGTGGCACGGGCCTGTGGTCCCAGCTGTTCCGGAGGGTGTGGTGGGAGGGTCACCTGAGCCAGGGAGGCAGAGGTTGCGGTGAGCTGAGATCACGCCACTGCACTCCAGCCTGGACGACAGAGCAAGACCCTGTCTCAAAAACAAAAAATAAGAAGTATCGAAACAGAATAAATGCAATCAATAAATGAAAGGAAGTTAGAGGAGTAAGAAGCAAAGCTCATCATGGGCCAGAGATGTAGAGGAGGTAGTATTTGGATTTGTTAGCCATCATTGTTTACGAACGCCATTTCCTGTCTCCTTTTTTGGGCTACTCTTGGGTAACTCCTGTGACAAAAGGGAAGATAAGACGTCGATTATCTCAGGTCAGACAGGCATCCCTACTCATGAGTTAAGCATGCTGATATCATTGAGGGTAGAGCCATGCGTAGTTGACTACTACAAAGAAGAGGCTACATGAATTACTGATCTAAAAATTACTTAAAGATCCACCTCCCCACCCATTGTCAGTTAAGGAACAACACTTCGGATTTTTAGCAGTGGAGAGATGCACCTGGCATATCTGGGAATACTGATATGACAGTTGTGTCTAGAGTGTCTTAGAGGAAGGTGAATTAGAAGAAAGGAAGGTCCCTCAAGTATCTAGGCTAACATCTCTTTAGTCTCTGATTGAATGTGGGGGCAATCAGATTGTCAGGGAGAGGCTGAGGCCAGGTAGACACAAGAATATTTAGTAATTGATTGGTTATGGAGGATAAAGGGAGAGGAGGGAATTAGATGTAATTATGAAATGTTTAACCTGAGTTACTATGGGACTTAGTGTGCCATTAAAATTTAACTCAAAAGAAAAAAAAAGGAGAAGCTGATTTCCGAAGGAATATAATTCTTTCAGTTTCAAATATTTTGAATTTCATTGGCTGGCAAGATATTTGTATGGAGATATTTGTGGCGAGTATATGAGAAATAAGGATGTGGTGTACTGAAGGGCAGTCGAGGCTACAGGTGCAGCTTTTTGGGGTAACAATAAAAGTTAAAGCTGGAAGAACAGATACAAAGCCCCATAAAGAGTATATACCGAGAAAATATGAGGATCAATGCCAAAATATGAGTAAATTTCTAAAGCAAAAGGAAGAAATGGAACTCAGAAAATAAATAGAGATAGGCTGGTCAAGGAGGCAATGGTAATAACAACAAAACAACGGCCACAACAGTGATAACTGTGCCTGTTTACTAAGTGCCAGACACTATGCTTAAGCACTACATGAATATACCTTAGAAGGATCAAAGGCATTTTTTCTCTCCCAAGCAAAGAAAAAAGGATCAGAGGACAGATGTAATTACAGAAAAATCCAAGGCAACTCATACTGGCTGTCTTTCAAGTGGGTTATGAGATCTTCAATTGGTAGAATGGGGTTCTGCCCTTGAGAAGCATATTCAACAGTGGTACAGTGGTTGAACGTCTATGCTATGGAGATGGCAAGACCTGGGATTGAAACCCTGGTCTGCACTTAACTAGCTGTGTGGATTCTTGGCCAAGTGGCCCAGTTTCTTCCTCTGTAAAAATGTGGAGGATTTTACCTACCACACAGGCTCATGGCAAGGATTAAGTAATGAATAGCACATAAAGCATCCAGACCACTGTCTGGTACAGTGCTCAGCATATGTCTATTAAGAGTGTGGAGAAGGTAGGAAGCCTTAGCTGGGACTAGGCAGCAGAATTCTGTTATGTGTCCAGCTAAGGCAGCCTCCTGGTGTTCAGTGAGGCAGATTCTGGGTTGTTGCATGCGTGCCTGTGAGTGGAGTGACTGAGGAACGGCATGTCCAATCCTTCCACCCAGGAGAGCCATACTTTGGCTTGCTATGATGGCCAGTGACATCCATGGCTCTGTAGGCAGAGAAATAAGCTGCAAATAAAACCCCTTTCTCTTTTGCTGGCGTATTAAAAAAAAATTAACAGTAAATTGTGGCATTTCAAGCTTCCCTTCTGTGTGCCATCTGTTCACCTACCCATAGTCCTGCATGTCAGCTTACTCCAGCAGCTTATAAGTACCCCTGCCATCAATGCCCAGTGACTTCTGACTCCATGAACATTGGCCTGTTGAAAATCATGTCTCTATTTATCTAGATAAATCGATTGTTGCATAAAGCCATTCAGTTCAGCCACCTCCCGTGATGCATGGGGTCCATTTAATGATGGATTTGACTGTTAGCTATCTAAGGCAGTAATGCTTATCCTTGACTATCCATTAGATTCTCCCAGGAGAGGTTTATGTTTTTACTCCACATTTTTTCCTTGTCAAATCCCTACCCTGGACCTGGTGCATTAGAATTTTTAGGTATGAAGTTGGGACATACATATTTTTATAAGGCTCCCTGGCTGGGTCGGATGTACAGTCAGCGGTAAAATCATACCTATAAGGAAAGAAGTCTTTGAAAAGTTGAACTGGATTTGTTGGTTGACTGTTTGCTCTAGAATGAAGTGTTTGGGGCCACATGCTTCCTGTCTCCTAGATTCAACCTACAGAAATTTTGAACAGTATTCATTCTGTTTATTCAGGCCGGAGAATGACTACTTACTTACCCAAAACCTAACTTTTTTGACTACTACTATTTAAGAATAGGGTCAAAATATTAGAATTGGGGTTAGAGATATTTGGACTCAAATTCTGGCTTAGTTATGTACTGACTGTGACTTTGAAGAGGCTAATTCACTTCTTTGAGCCTCATCTATAAAATGCAGACAACACCCATATCACATGTTTGTGGTTAGGGTTAAAGAAGATGCTGCATAAAAATTCTCTAGCTGAGTACCTAGGCATGGAATATGCTTTAAATAGAGCCATTATTAATAATATTTTATTTATCTTCATTAGTTACTGATTAATCAATAGATATTCTTACTGCACTATCCTTATAATATTCCAGCTATTTATAGGTTTATGTTGATTTTTTTTCTTGGGGTTTGTCATCAGCTAATTATATCTTCTAGGATATGTTTTAACGGATATCCATTCTTTCTTTGAGAATGTTAATTTAGAAATGTATACATATGTACAGACATACTCAAAAGAATTAGTTATTGACTTTCTAAATATACAGACTCATTACAGAACATTTTTGTATGCCTTGAGATTATGTTTTATGCCTGAACTGGTTAGACACTTTCTTTCCCACCCACTAAATTTCAGCATGTGTGACTTTCTCAGTACTTCTTGGGCCTCCCATTGCCTTTGCTATTTTGTTCTATCATTGCTGGTCATGTAAGCTAAGAAGAGAAAGAGTGTAAATGAAGGCAGAGGGAAAGAAGGACCTTAGAGACATCTAAAGTGTAGGAAGTTTGAGGATAGAGACCTTGTTCTTTGCATTCTTATATACCCATAAAAGTTGTTTAAAAGAAATACTTGTTTAACTGAAATTGTGTTATAATTCTTCTTTACTAGGATCTCTCAGAAAACAGCCTTTCTTAGGCTTCTGAATATTTAATTAGTTTCTTCTTTTCACCTGTGGTCACGTGGCCAAACTTTGGCCAAATAGGGCTTGGAAATTCTGATTAAAAGCTGTATTAATTTGGGATACCATGGGATAGAGGTAATTCCTCCAAAGGAAAACCCAGTTGCTGCTACCTACCAAAAGGAGAAATGAATAGTGGAAGGCAAGAGCAGTTCATGTCCCCTTTTCCATTTTCCATTACCTACCAGAGACCACCTTCTCAATGTCTTTTCCATGTCTCCCTTTTTCTCCAGGCCTTGGCCACTGTTCTAATGTGCTTTCCTATCTCCTGCTTGTTTTCTCCCAATTCTAATATGATTTGCACATGTCTGTAAAATTAAACTTCCCAAAAAGTGCATTTACCATATTTTAAAACCTTCCATCATTTCTAATCCTCACTGGATAAAGTTTGAACTCTTCTGCCTGGCATTCAAGACCGTAAAAAAATCTTGTCTTTTACCAACATTGATGATTTTATTATTCAGAAATTTCTACTTGAACCAGCTGTTCAATGAATTGGCTCTTATATCCTAAAGACAGCCTCAATGGATTGGTGGAGGAGCCTTATGCCAGCCACAGTAGCTTTGCCCGGACACATTATGTAGACTCATTAGAAATCTTAGGAATAATCTGAGCATAATCTCTAGACTCATCTCCTAACATTCCTGGAATTCTTCCCTGTTCCCCATTATAGGCATGCTTTGTGTGTCTATCATGTTGAAAAACTCACAGGTCTCCAGGCAGGCCAAGTGGCCACATGTTTGTCCCTTAGTATGTGGTATTCCCTTTCTTGAGTGTCATTCCACAATCTCTTTCCAGTGCTGACCACTCTCACCTGGACACTTGTCTCAGAAAAATTGTTCCTGATTTCTCCTAGTGAGTGGGAGATGCCTCTGATTTGTAGCCTCATGATGCACTGAATATTCCCTTATGACACTGTAATGTAATTTCCATTTACTCTCCCTGTCTCAATTACACCAGGAACTCCTTCATGGAAAAATTGAGCCCTCCAAATCTTTATCACCTGTCCTTAGCACATGCTTAGCTAGTGTAGAAGCTCAGGGATGGTGCAAACTTTACCTATCCTATTTACACCCTGTCACATCCTAGTGCACAGAGAAAGATGGGGCACAAGGAAGCTCTCAACACAGAAGTACTTCAATGGCTCCAACTCAGTGATGGTAAACACCAACGTTCTTACTGAATGAAACAAAATATTCCCTAAGACGTGATCCTGCTGCCCTTCTGCCCTCATCTCCTCACGCTGTCCCTGACCCACCCTTGCTATTTCTGCCCACTGGCCTCCTTGCTCTTTCTGTGACACTGCAGTGTCCCCGAAAGTGACAAGTGTGTTCCAGATTCATTCTCTTTGCCCTGAGTGTTCCCGCTGCTGGAATTGCTCTTTCCCCTGGTATGTACCCGGTCTGCTCTGCTCAATAATAACCTAATTAGGTCCCTGATTGTCTGATATTATAAAGTGCTTTCTACATAGCACATCCTATATGCCTTACCCTTCTTAATCATTTCCACTGCCCTTAGCCTTATGTTACACGATATATGTTCAGTGGTGTGTTTATTGTGTTTCGCCCTTTTCTCTATGGTAGTTCCATGAGGGTAGGGACTTTGTCTTGTCTGCGACTCTATCCTCAGCTTCTAGAATATGCCTAGTACACAGTAGGCACTCAATTACTGTTTGTTAAGTGAATGAATACGTGCTAAAGAAATAAAAGGTTGTAAGGGAACACAAAGCATGTAAAATAATTATGTTGGACACTACTGAATATAGATAGCTATTCCCACCAGCCATTCATATTCCCTTCTCTACAGAAACAGACAGATACCTAAATTAAATATAGATGCATGTTCCGGAAACTTCAAATCCAATACAGGCACAATGGTATTAATAATACAAAATACATCATGTCTAACATTGCTTTGTGAAGGAGATTGGGAAAAGAGAGGAGAGAGCCCGAACACTTCTCCCTACAGCAATTCCGTACCCCTTTTCATAATATTTTGGTAGCTTGATGGAGGCATTTTCTTCCCGAAAGCAGCCTGACATTTATCCAGGATTGCCTGAATTTACTGCTGCAGTTACCAGCAAAAAGCCATCAGGTTTTAGAGTTTTCTCATCCGTAGTAAGCTGGTCAATTTATTTTATTAGCATCTTTTCCAGTGCCTGACCCTAAAATAACTGATTTCAGTGTTTACATTCTTAGAGGTGGGCTAATGAAGAATCTTTGGCAGCTACTGCCAAGCCCTGGATGTTTGAGTAAAACTTTGTAATAAAAGCACCGACAAAACCCCAGCCTTACCCATTGGAAAAAAAATAGATTTTGTTGTGTGTAGTATTTTTAAAATATCATATTTTGTAATAGATATGATAGATTTGTGAATAGGCAATTAAAAGAATTCTGTAAATTTTATGGAGCTTCTCTTTCCATTCTTTTCCACCTTGGTCACTGACAGACATAATTTGCCTTTTTAAGGATAGACTGCTATTTTTTACTCTTTCTTGTTTTCCTCAATTGCCCTCACCCATCTGTGTGACTTTTTCTTACTCTCTTCACTACGTATGGAAGACTTTGCCCTCACCCATCTGTGTGTCTTTTTCTCGCTCTCTTCACCATGTATGGAAGACTGTTATTTCTGAATCTTTGGACTAACCTTAGAAAAGTTCCCTTAGAGGTGCACACTGTGGTGGCTTCTGAGAGTCCTATGCCTGTCCACATGGAGTTCCTTCTACTATTTTTGCTTATTTCATCATTAAAAATGAAGCTAATTGTTGCCAAAAATATAGAACGATTGGAACTCTCTTACGTGGCCAGTTGGGGTGAACTCATATACAGCCACTTTGGAAAACATTTTTGAAGTTAAGTTTACAAATACACTGATCATATGATTCAGTGAATTCCACTGTCTCCCCAAGAGCAATAAAAACATGTCCACATGATTGCTCATAGCAGTTGTACTCATAATCACCCCAAACTGAGAAGTCACCAAATATTTATCAACAGATGGATGAATAAGCAAATTGTGGCAAATCCATGCAATGAAATACTATTCAGCAATAAAAAGGAACAAAATATTGGTAAATGCTACAACACGGATGAACCTCACTGACATGATCAGCCAAATAAACCAAACATAAAAAGAGTACACACTGAATGATTCTATTTTATGAAATTCTTTAATAGACAAAACTAAACTAAACTGATGGTTGTCTCAAAACAGGGTTGGGGCTATTGACTGCAAAGGGGCATAAGGAAACTTTTTGAGGTGATAAAAAATTTTATATCTTGACTGTGAGAGTGATTACAGAGATGTACCCGCTTGTGAAAATGCATCAAACTACGCTTTAGATGGGTGCATTTTGTTGTATGTAAATTAAACCTCAATAATGTTAATTTAAAATAAAAACAAAAAAGCAAAACTAATGCATGTTTGAAGTCAATTCCCACTGAAATCTTCAGTGGTCAAGCCGTCTGTCTACAGGCAGACTATTGCCTCCCTAAGACACTGCTGACCATTTACCCATCAGGAGAATTTTAGGAAATTTCATTAAATTATTACAAAGAGCAAGCTCTGATTCAAGACCTGATTTTCCTGGCCTCTCCCTGGGAGAATAGCAGCTGATGATAAAAGCAATGAAAACAGTGCATATTTATTGATTTGTTGAAATACCAGGCATTTGTAATGCTGTGCCAGTATGTCTGGTTCTTAGCACAGTGCCTGGTACATAGGAGGCACACCATAAATATTGATTGAGTAGTAGAACAAAACTTATAACAACGTTACAATGAATGTATCACCATTTTATAGATAAATAAGCCAGGGTCAGAGAAGTTAAGTGACTTTTCCAAAGTCTCTAAGAGTTTTCAAAGCTATTTTTCGAGCCCAGGTCTCTAGCATCAGGCTTTCCATTAAATTAAAATTCAATTTAATGCAAGATATCCTGCTTCCCAATTGGTTGGGTTGTTTTTTTAATGTAAAATTGTTATGATTATATCTAAATCATATGCCTGTATTGGCTATCAAATGATTTAAATATGTGAACAATCTTTGTAAACTCCAAAGCTTTGTAGAAAAACAAGATGTAAGCAATATGGCTTAGCATAAAATTTGGCTTTCTTTTTTCCTAACATAATAAAAGCTAACATTTGTGCTTAAAATGTACCACACACTGTTCTAAGTGCTGTGTAGTCTATAAAAATCACTTAATTCTCACTTAAAACTCTCTGAGGTACATATCATCATCATCATTGTCTTATCTTTGTCTTCAACATCTCCATTTTATAGGTGAGTTCATGCATTTTTTCCCCTGAGTTATAGAGGTAGTAAGTGGCAGAGCCAGGATTTGAATCCAAATAGTTTTTATTCAAATCTCTCATAGCCATTACCCTATACTTTCTCATCCATCCATCTACCTACCTACCCATCCATCCATCGTTCCATCCCCACAACACTAGTTTTTAGCATATTTCCTTGCAACACGTCTGACAAATAATGTTCATTCAGTGATATCCTCACCTCATTGTCATTCACTTCGATGTTCTGTATAGATGAACAGACTGCAAGTTATGTATATTTTTCTATATGTCAGTTGAAATTTCAACCAATTTTAAAATTCAGAATAGAAACTGTTCCTCTAGATTAAAACAATAACAACAAGCAAAACAATGGCATAGCTTGTCTTTTATTGCTGCCAATCTGAGTTGGGTAAATTTTGCATTAATAAGTCACATCACATTTATCTGAATAATGTTCTCTTAAACTGAAAAAAGACACAAAGGACTTATCACTCCAGAAAGCTATCTTACATATTCCATCCATACTGTTTCTCTTTTCCTTCTCTTGAAAATATGTTGGAAAAATCTAGCATGGGATTTCCAAATTTTGACTCTTCAATTCAATAGTTAAAGGGCTTATGGCCAGAAAGTCATTAGCATTCTTCCCAATGACCAGGCAGCATGGGCACAGTAGATGATGATGCCTTTGAGAGCAGTTGAGAAGAAAAACCTCTAACTATTGTGGTATTCAGAGGAGAAGCCTTCAAAGGGCTAGAGAGGTTTACTCTTCAGGTTGACAGGCATGTCTGTAGGCTGGATCTCACATTTGGGGCAATAGTCCCCAAGGAGAATAAGTTCAGAAGAGGTCTGATAAAAGCTGCACATTGATTAGGATATTTCAGCGAGGAAACTGTGATTAAACATGCCTCTAGAGCAAATACAATTTAATGTATTTCATGACAGTTTTGATGCTTCATTTTAAGAAAGGAATTGTGATTTTTTTAATGAAATGTCAGTTTTACCGGATTGGTTTTATAAAATAGAGCATATCTACAATGCTTTCTTGTTCAGACTTTATAACCTTTGCTATTGTATTAACTAGGTTGAATGACCAACATTTGAATATCTTCAAAAAGGATTACCTACATTCTGAAGACAGATACATTTATTAAGTATTCCTTATGGATTCATTTCAAAAATTATATATGTAGAGAAAGAACACACCGCTATTTGCCTTGTTAGTAAACTAAATGGACAAAATCCCTTTCATTATGCAGCCTAGCTAATATTACCACATTCGAAAAAAATTTCAAAATTTAAGAATGCACTTCAAATACGCATTCTTAAAAAAAAGCTGTTCAAAGGGACAGAAGCAAATATCTTTCTATGTTTTTAAAATTTATTTTTGCATGCTTTCCATTATGAAGGCAACTCCTTTCTTAAAGACTAAAACCCAGCATAAGCATTTGGCCTGTTAGATGTGCAACAAACTCCATTTTTTTTGTGGCATGAACAAAAGGCTTTTGGTTTGCAATCAGGCTATAGTTGACACACTAATTTTTCCCTCTAGTAAAGAGGAGTTTCACTCAACAGGTTCGTCGCAGCCTCTGCACCCAAGACCCCGCTGGGAGCCAATTTTAATACCTGAAATATTCTCTGCTTTCTGAAGAGGGCAGGACATCCGGAGAATACTTGACATTAAGAGTGATCGTAATAAAGTTTTGTCTTAATCTATTCAGGAGAATTTTAGAGTCAGGAAAGTATGATTAGAGCATCTATGTCTCGGGAAAAGTGTCCCCACTGTGCTTTAAGCTTCATATCTTGTAGAAAGATTTAAGACCAAATAATCTTAAAATCAAACCAGATTAGAAGTGCTCTGGAGAAGAAGTCCAAGAGATATATCTTCCCAGTAGTCACATTATATAGGATGATATAGTTTTGTTGGTTGAAAGGATGTCAAGGGATTATATGAATTATCCACTTTGACAAAGTTAAAGATAAAGGTTAATAATCTACCAGCAAAAGAAAGGGCAATGCCAGACACACATACTCCAGCCGTTGCTTCTCATAATTCCTCTAAGACCTCTCTGGGCCTGGGATTAGTGAGTGCCCCCGATTCTTCCATGTGGGGCCCTTGGCCTCTTTCAACTGTCAGTGCTTTCGATCATAGGGGTAGTCTGGTATAAAAGGAAGGCTGACGGAATAAAAGTGAAGACAATGCAGGTTTAATAGGGAGAAATGATTTTCCTACTTTCCTTTTTGGAAGCCAAATACACTGTCCCCGTATATTGCCACTTGAAAAAAATGAGTTAAAAAAATCTGATAACAAGGCTCAGAAGGCTGGCTTAAATGAGGTCAACTACTATGACTAAGTAGCAATCTGAAGAAATGTACAAAAATCAAGCCTGTTTTTCCAATATTTGGAGGAGAGCTTATTTTAAATAAAAATCAAAATTTTAAGAAGTAGACTACAAAATAAAAATAACTATAATAATTTTATTATATGAAATATAATCTTGTAATGGATATATTATGCCATATGTAGTCTATATGATGATGTATTATAATAATTTACATTCGTGTACCAAGAATTAAGCTATCCATTTTGCATCAATTTTCTTTCTCTCTTTACCAAGTGACAGATTTAATGTAAACTGATTCTGTTACAATTGGATCTAATTTATAGAAACATGTATACCATTCATTCCACGGTAGTCAGTCTGTTACATTGTTTCTATCAGAGCTATCTTTTTTAGTGAATTGGGAACAAAGCTTACACTAACACCATTTGTCACTGAGCAAGCTGAACTCTGCTTTCTAAATAGTCTGGCCACATCAATTTTCTAACATATTTATCTCAATAATTGTATGTGAGCAATACATTTACTGTCCCATTTAAGAGATGAGAACATTAAGGCAGAGAAGGTTATAGAGCTCACCAAAGGCACACCATCACTAAGTACCTGTTGCAGAGGGGTTACCCTAGGTTGCAGGAGATAATTTTTGGGTTTATTGCAAGGCTATCCTGTGTAGTTAAGTGCTATGAAGAAAATTGCAGCTAAGAAAATAGAACGGAAATTGCAGCTGATTTTTGAGGCAAATAGACATATTAAGGTCCCACTGTGCACTGCTCAAAGCCTTTATGAATTAATTATATGCTACATGTCTCGTTAATTACTAACGTATCACTGTACTCACCTTTTGCCTTAAAAGCTTGGTAAAATCTCATACATATCCTCGAATGAACTACTGCTTCTCTATATGCTTGCTTACAAATTATAGTTTGATCCAAGAAACTAGAAGTTTCTGCTTCTCTCTGGCTTATATTCACACGTGTTGACATGGAGCATGTGTATGTGCAGTAATCACGTGAGTGTAATAGGCTCCCTTGAATAGTGCCCACCTCAAAGAGAACAGCTGCAGTGTTATTGTTTTCAGTGTAATATCACATTTATAGAACTTGCTGCCAATGTGGTAAGATCAATAGGAATTGCACTTTTATACTACCAGTTTTCCTCTGGCCTAATTTCATGTAGACCAGGAGCATGCACTCACATGCTTGAGGGAAACCGAAGCCACAACGAGTGACAAATGTTCATTTGTCCCCAAGATTGAGACTGGAATAACAGTACTGCTTTCTCTAGTTTCAGCTTGCCTAAAAATATGTGGTGATTAAATCTTTATTCAATATGCTTATATCAAACATTGGCCATAAATTTCATAATTCATATTTATAAATAGTTTGGGTGAAAAGAAAGATTTGGGAATAAAAAACTTAAGCTCTTATAAATTTTTTCCCAGTTTAAGTCTTGATTCTGTTATATGATTTTATTGATCACTCATCATGCCCCAGACACAGCCCTCCACACAATACATGGTTATCTCAATTAATCCCTACCACATCTCAACAACAGAGGCTCAGAAAGGTCATATGCTTTTTGGAAATGGTAGAATTTGAACTTAGGTCTCTGACTCCTAAGGGTATATTCTCAAGTCCTACCGCATTCTGCCCTTTGAAATCGATGCAGGCAGGCACAGTTGCCATTTTTTATTGCCCAACGGGTACAGCTACTCTTATGAAGCAATGCTTATAGTGAAATCAGCTTACATAGCTACAGTGACCAGTGATTTGCTATATGATGGAAACTCCAGAGAATTTAAAAGTGAGGAAAAATTTAGGATCAAGGCTTGAGCATAATTGATGGCAAAATCTTCCTGCTTCTGCAACAAGTAGAGAGAATAGCTTGTAAATTGGGCCATTGTTATTTTTGGTCAGGGCCAGGCTGGTCAGATTCAGCAATAGAAGAGTGTTTACTTGATACTCGGTTCAATTTGGTCTCCTGGTCTTAGGTGTCACTTGCAGCTACTTAGATGTCAAGGGACAAACTGCACCATTAAAAAAGTAAAAGGAGGCCATTGGATGATAGGCATCTCACACCTATCATCTCAGCACTTTGGGAGGCTGCGGTGGGAGGATTGCCTGAGCCCAGGAGTTCCAGATCAACCTGGGCAACATAGAAAGACCCTATCTCTACAAAAAAAAAAAAAAAAAAAAAAAAAAAAATAGCCAGGCGTGGTGATAGGTACCTATAGTCCTAGCTACTTGGGAGGCTGAGGCAGGAGGATTCCTTGAGCCCAGGAATTTGAGGTTGCAGTGAGCAATGACTGAGCCACTGCACTCCAGTCTGGGCAACACACAGAACAATCCCTTGTGTCTTAAAACAAAACAAAACAAACAATAACAACAACAACAAAAACAATGGTTCTTGTTAAACATACAGCTTCCCAGGTTCCCAGGTACCTCTCCTGGAGACAGGGATTCAGAGGGCCTGAGACGAACTTGGGAATTTGCAAGTTTAACATACACCACGGGAAATCCTTACCATCAGAGAAGTCAGAGATACTCTGCCAAGGCAAAGAAGATGAAGCTGGCAGAATTAATTGGCCTTCCTTGCCGCTTTTCCTTAAATGCTTGTCTCTGATTTCCTAGTTCCTTTAGTGCTGGTTCTGTGCCATTGACACTTGACCTCATACATCCTTTCCTGGGTTCCTAGCAGCTGCTCCAGTTCTTGTCTGTATACCACTCTGCCTCTTGGGTCACAACCGCTTGCCATTTTCTACTATTAACGTTGCATTTTGTTTCCGTTGAATTTGACCCATGTGAGAGAACTGGCGGTTCAGTACCCAAACAGATGATTTCCACCCCAGAAGTTCAAAGAATGATATGATCTTATTTTCTTCTTTGTTTTGGATATGAGCTAAGCAAATGCATTCTAGGTCAGTGGATGTCAACCTTGGCTCAGCTCCTCAGGGAGCTTTACAAACCACCCTGGGTGATTCTGATGTCATTGTTCTGGGCTATAGCCTGGGATCAGGGACTTTAAAGGCCCCAGCTGCCTCTACCATGCCCCATCGGTGGTAGGGTGTGGGGGTACCAACACTCTAGAAAGTCCTGCAACCACTCTACTAGTTTTTAGGAGAGTGGAACTGGGTTTATAAAAAATGTTTGCTTTAGGTATAGAATCCATCTGAGCTATCTTTGAAGGAATCAGCCAAAGTAGCATATTGCTCACCCAAACTCTCTTTTCAAGGAGAGAAAAATCTTCAGTGAGCCCCTTTTATGCCTAGCCACCACTCTTCCCTGGACCGCATCTGAGAAGAACGTTTTATAATATCGTATTTATATAGCGCTTATCTCCCTAGAGCACACATACCATGCAGATATGTTTTAAGATCTCATTAATCTCACAGACTTTTTCCTTTAAGATTTCACAGGAGTATCACGGCAATATATAAATGCTGAAAACACAATTTTAAAAATATATATAAGTGCCATGTAATTTTCAAACTATTATTTACATTCCATAAACATTTATATTTGGGTGTATATAAAACCCGGAAAATATCTATAACATATATAAAACACAAACCATCAAATGTGCTTGCATTGATCAACATTTCCTTTCAATTCCATCTTTTACTCTATGGTACCCTATTTTTTCTTTCTCCTTCCCTTTGCAAGAATTTTCATGTCTCTTTATTGCTGAAATTCCTATGGCTACATTTATGGTTATTTCACCCACCATGTTTGCTTATTTTCCACATGCTCATGGTGGCAATCGCATCAAGGTGAGCAAACGGCTTGCAACATCCGTTGCTTCAAATCTTACCATACAACCCCTCCCTGCCTCACGCAGCCCATACAAATTCTTAGCTCTGTGGTATTCCTTTTCCTTTGACAATTACTTACAAACTATGAGTAGCTTTATTTGTTGGGCAATAAAAAATGGCAACTGTGCCTGCCTGTATCAATTTCAAAAGGCAGAATCCTATAGGAGTTGAAAATATACACTTAGGAGTCAGAGATCTAGGTTGAAATTCTGTCATTTCCAGAAAGCGTATGACCTTTCTGAGCCTCTGTTATTGGGATGTGGTGGGGATTAATTGAGATAACCATGTATTGTATGGAGGGCCATATCTGGGGCATGATGATCAATAAATGATGACGTCCTTAGTAGCATCTGTCATCTACACAGACAAGCCTTCCAGTCTCAGCCCAAGCTCTCTCCTTTATTTAAGTTGTTCGCTGACTCCTGCTGGGAGACTTCAAGACCCGTTTCCTCTGCTGCATCATTTCTTTCTTTCTTTTTTTTAAAAAAAAACACAAAAAACTTTTACTTCTGGGATACACGTGCAGAATGTGCAGGTTTGTTACATAGGTATACACATGCCATGGTGGTTTGCTGCACCCATCAACTCGTCATCTACATTAGGTATTTCTCCTAATACTATCCCTCCCCTTGCCCCCACCTCCCAACAGGCCCTGGAGTGCGATGTTCCCCTCCCTGTGCCCATATGTTCTCACTGTTCAACTCCTACTTATCAGTGAGAACATGCGGTGTTTGGTTTTCTGTTCCTGTGTTAGTTTGCTGAGAATGATGGTTTCCAGCTTCATCCATGTCCCTGCAAAGGACATGAACTCATGCTTTTTTATGGCTGCATAATATTCCATGGTGTATATGCACCACATTTTCACATTTTCTTTATCCAGTCTAACATTGATGGGCTTTTGGGTTGGTTCCAATTCTTAGCTATTGTGAATAGTGCTGCAATAAACATACATGTGCATGTGTATTTATAGTAGAATGATTTATAATCCTTTGGGTACCCAGTAATGGGATTGCTGGGTCAAATGGTATTTCTAGTTCTAGATCCTTGAGGAATAGCCACACTGTCTTCCACAGTGGTTGAACTAATTTATACTCCCACCAACAGTGTAAAAGTGTTCCTATTTCTCCACATCCTCTCCAGCACCTGTTGTTTCCTGACTTTTTAATGATCGCCATTCTAACTGGTGTGAGATGGTATCTCATTGTGGTTTTGATTTGCATTTCTCTGATGGCCAGTGATGATGAGCATTTTTTATGTGCTTTTTTGCTGCATAAATGTCTTATTTTGAGAAGTGTCTGTTCATATCCTTTGCCCACATTTGATGGGGTTGTTTGTTTTTTTTTTTTGTAAATTTGTTTAAGTTCCTTATAGATTCTGGATATTAGCTGTTTGTCAGATGGATAGATTGCAAAAATTTTCTCCCATTCTGTAGGTTGCCTGTTCACTCTGATGATAGTTTCTTTTGCTGTGCAGAAGCTCTTTAGTTTAATCATATCTCATTTGTCAATTTTGGCTTTTGTTGCCATTACTTTTGGTGTTTTAGTCATGAAGTCCTTGCCCATGCCTATATCCTGAATGGTATTACTTAGGTTTTCTTCTAGGGTTTTTATGGTTTTAGGTCTTATGTTTAAATCTTTAATCCATCTTGAGTTAATTTTTGTATAAGTTGTAAGGAAGGGGTCCAGTTTCAGTTTTCTGCATATAGCTAGTGAGTTTTCCCAACACCATTTATTAAATAGGGAATCCTTTCCCCATTGCTTGTTTTTGTCGGATTTGTTAAAGATCAGATGGTTGTAGAAGTGCGGCATTTTTTCCAAGTCCTCTGTTCTGTTCCATTGGTCTATATATCTGTTTTCATACCAGTTCCATGCTGTTTTGGTTACTCTAGCCTTGTAGTATAGTTTGAAGTCAGGTAGCGTGATGCCTCCAGCTTCATCCTTTTTGCTTAGGATTGTCTTGGCTATACAGGCTCTTTTTTGGTTCCATATGAAATTTAAAGTAGTTTTTTTCTGATTCTATAAAGAAGGTCAATGGTGGCTTGATGGGAATAGCATTGAATCTGTAAATTACTTGTGGCAGTATGGCCATTTTCACAATATTGGTTCTTTCTATCCATGAGCATGGATTGGTTTTCCATTTGTTTGTGTCCTCTTTTATTTCCTTGAGCAGTGATTGTAATTCCCAGAAAGACGGTCTTCGTGTCCCTTGTAAGTTGTATTCCCAGGTATTTTATTCTCTTTGTAGAAATTGGGAATGGGAGTTTGCTCATGATTTGGCTCTCTGTTTGTCTATTATTGGTGTATAGGAATGCTTGTGATTTTTGCACATTAATTTTGTATCCTGAGACTTTGCTGAAGTTGCTTATGAGCTTAAGGTGTTTTGGGGCTAAGACGATGGGGTTTTCTAAATATACAATAATGTGATCTGCAAACAGAAATAATTTGACTTCCTCTCCTCCTGTTTGAATACCCCTTATTTCTTTCTCTTGCCTGATTGCACTGGCCAGAACTTCCAATACTATGTTGAATAGGAGTGGTGATAGAGGGCATCCTTGTCTTGTGCCAGTTTTCAAAGGGAATGCTTCCAGCTTTTGCCCATTCAGTATGATATTGGCTGTGGGTTTGTCATAAATAGCTCTTATTATTTTGAGATATGTTCCATCAATACCTAGTTTATTGAGAGTTTTTAGCATGAAGGGGTGTTGAATTTTATAGAAGGTCTTTTTTGCATCTATTGAGATAATCATGTGGTTCTTGTTGTTGGTTTGGTTTATTTGATGGATTACGTTTATTGATTTGCATATGTTGAACCAGACTTGCATCCCAGGGATGAAGCTGATTTGATTGTGATGGATAAGCTTTTTAACATGCTGCTGGATTCAGTTTGCCAGTATTTTATTGAGGATTTTCGCATCAATGTTCATTAGGGATATTGGCCTGAAATTTTCTTTTTCTTGGTGGTAGTCTCTGTATTTCCTGAATTTGAATGTTGGCCTGTCTTGCTGGGTTGGGGAGGTTCTCCTGGATAATATCCTGAAGAGTGTTTTCCAACTTGGTTCCATTCTCCTTGTCACTTTCAGGTACACCAATCAAATGTAGGTTTTGTTGTTGTGGGAAGTCAGGGAATCCGAACGGAGGGACCAGCTGAAGCCATGGCAGAACATCATAAATTGTCAAGATTTCATGGACATTTGTTAGTTCCCCAAATTAATACTTTTATAATTTCTTATGCCTGTCTTTACTGCCATCTCTGAACATAAATTGTGAAGATTTATGGACATTTATCACTTCCCCAATCAATACTCTTATAATTTCCTATGCCTGTGTTTACTTTAATCTCTCAATCCTGTCATCTTCATAAGCTGAGGATGTATGTCACCTCAGGACCCTGTGATGATTGCATTATCTGCAAAAGTTGTTTGTAAAGCGTGTGTGTTTGAACAATATGAAATCTGGCACCTTGAAAAGAACAGGATAACAGAGATTTTCAGGGAACAAGGGAGATAACCATAAATTCTGACTGCCTGCGGGGCCGGGAAGAACAGAGTCATATTTCTCTTCTTTCAGAAAGCGAATAGGAGAAATATTGCAGAATTCTTTTCTCAGCAACGAATAACCTGGGAAAACGAATGCATTCCCAGTAGGAGGTCTCTAAACTGGCCGCTCTGGATGTGTCTGTCTTATGCAGTTGTAGATAAGGGATGAAATATGCCCTGGTCTCCTGCACACCCCCAGGCTTGTTAGGATTGGGAAATTCCAGCCTGGTGAAATTCTAGTCAGACTGGTTGTCTGTTCTCAAACACTGTTTGTTTCCTGTTAAGATGTTTATCAATGACAATGTGTGCCCAGTGGGACATGGACCTTCATCAGTAATTCTACTTTCACCCTGGCCTTGTGATCTCACTCTGCCTCTCTGCCCTTGTGATATTTTATTGCCTTTGAAGCATGTGATCTCTGTGACCCACTCCCTATTTGTACACCCCTCCCCTTTTGAAAATTGCTAATAAAACCTTGCTGGTTTTGTAGCTCAGGGGGCATCACGGAACCTGCCGACATGTGATGTCACCCCTGGAGACCCAGCTGTAAAATTTCTTTCTTTTGTATTCTTTCTCTTTATTTCTCAGACCGGCCGACACTTAGGGAAAATAGAAAAGAACCTATGTTGAAATACTGGGGGCTGGTTCCCCCGATATTTGGTCTTTTCACATAATCCCATATTTCTTGGAGTCTTTGTTCCTTTTCATTCTTTTTTCTCTAATCTTGTTTTCATGCTTTATTTCATTAAGTTGATCTTCAGTCTCTGATATTCTTTCTTCTGCTTCATCGATTTGTCTATTGATACTTGCATATGCTTCATGAAGTTCTCTTGCTGTGTTTTTCAGCTCCATCAGGCCATTTATGTTCTTCTCCAAACTGGTTATTCTAGTTAGCAATTCCTCTAACCTTTTATCAAGGTTCTTAGCTTCCTTGCATTGAATTAGAACATGCTCCTTTAGGTTGGAGGAGTTTGTTATTACCCACCTTCTGAAGCCTACTTCTGTCAATTGTCAAACTCATTCTCCATCCAGTTTTGTTCCCTTGCTGGCAAGGAGTTGTGATCCATTGGAGGAGAAGAGGCTTTCTGATTTTTGGAATTTTCAGCCTTTTTGTGCTGATTTTTCCTCATTGTCATGGATTTATCTACCTTTGGTGTTTGCTGTTGGTGACCTTCAGATGGAGTTTTTGTGTGGTCGTCCTTTTTGTTGATGTTGATTCTATTGCTTTCTGTTTGTTAGTTTGTATTCTAACAGTCAGGCCCTTCTTCTGCAGGTCTGCTGGAGTTTGCTTTAGGTCCACTCCAGATCCTATATGCCTGGGTATCAGCAGTGGAGGCTGCAGAACAGCAAAAATTGCTGCCTGCTTCTTCCTCTGGAAGCTTCATCCCAGAGGGGCACCCACCAGATGCCAGCCAGAGCTCTCCTGTATGAAGTGTCTCCCCATCTGGAGTCATGGGGATCAGGGACCCACTTGAGGAGGCAGTCTGTCCCTTAGCAGAGCTGGAGCACTGTGCTGGGAGATCTGCTGCTCTCTTCAGAACCCGCGTGCAGGAACATTTAATTCTGCTGAAGCTGCTCCCAGAGCCACCCTTTCCCTCAGGGGGTCTCTCCCAGGGAGGTGGGAGTTTTGTCTTTAAGCCCTTGACTGGGGCTGCTGCCTTTCTTTCAGAGAGGCCCTGCCCCGAGAGGAGGAATCTAGAGATGCAGTCTGGCTACAGAGGCTTTGGAGAGCTGTGGTGGGCTCCGCCCAGTCCGAACTTCCTGATGGCTTTGTTTACACTGTGAGGGGAAAACTGCCTACTCAAGCCTCAGCAATGGCGGACACTCCTCCCCCCACCAAGCTTGATCATCCAAGGTCGACTTCAGACTGCTGTGCTGGCAGCAAGAATTTCAAGCCAATGATCTTAGCTTGCTGGGCTCTGTTGGGGTGAGTTCTCCTGAGCAAGACCATTTGGCTTGCTGACTTCAGCCCCCTTTCCAGGGCAGTGAAAGGTTCTCTCTCGCTGGCATTCCAGGCCCCACTGGGGTATGAATAAAAAACTCCTGCAGCTAGCTCTGTGTCTGCCCAAATGGCCTTGCCGTTTTGTTCTTGAAACCCAGGGCACTAGTGAAATAGGCATCTGAGGGAATCTCCTGGTCTGAGGGTTGCGAAGACCATGGGAAAGGTATAGTGTCTTGGCCAGAATGCACTGCCCCTCATCACACAGTATTTCAGGGCTTCCCTTGGCTAGGTAGGGAGTTCCCCAACCCCTTGCACTTCCTGGGTGAGGCGATGCCCCAACCCTGCTTCTGCTCACCCTGCTTCTGCTCCATGGGTTGCACCCACTGTCTAACCAGTTCCAGTGAGATGAACCAGGTACCTCAGTTGGAAATGAAGAAATCACTCATCTCTGTGTTGGTCTGGCTGGGAGCTGCAGACTGGAGCTGTTTCTATTTGGTCATCTTGCCCAGAAATCCTGCTGCATCATTTCTGCTTGTTTATTTCACCTTTACAGATGTTCCTTTATTTTCTTTTACTAGCATGTTTCTGCCCATTAGACTGTAAACTCCTTGGGGCAGGAATATGACTTAAATCATTTTGTCCCTACTCCCAGACATGCAAGTATATAATGAGAGTAGGGGGACAGATAGGGAACTTCCTACCTGCAGATACTTGGATAATTCACACTAAGGCCTTGAAGAAAAATTGCATGTCTGCTTCTCCTCCTCTCCGCAAGAAGAAAGCATTAGACAGGCATTCAAGTCCTTAGATACCTTTTTTCTAACTGGTCCTAAATTGGATCTTTAGGCAAACTTTGCAAGGTCTGTCTTTGAGAACGGAAATCTAGAAACCCTGTCCATCGCACAAAATTTTGGCATGCTGAAGCTTAAATTACTGAGCCTCCCTAGAGAATGAGGCTTGTTAAGCTTGGGGTGTAGTTTCCCAGACCGCACTGCTGGAATCTGCATTCTGGGCACTTGGCTCCCTCATTTTGATTCAGGCTAATTCCAGGGGCAGGTCACCTTCCCCACAGAGGAGCTTGGAAACACCTGTTATGGACAGACATTGCCGTTCCTCTTCTTCTGAGGAGAGAATTGTTTGATGTGTCTTAAATGACCTCATTATTAGCCCTTGGTGGAGCTTCCATTTTTTTCAGATTTAAATTGGACTAAACACTGACTAATAAGGCTCCTGTGCTTATTAAAATTGTGTTGTTCATGTTCATAGCATTTCTCTTCATCACCAAGGAATAATGAGTAGAGTTTGTAAATTCTTTCGCTAATAATTCAGCAATTATGGTATTAAAAGAGTGTTTTGTAGGATAGACATGAGAGGGGATGTAAAGAAATTAGGAGAGAGGAACTATTCATCTTGAAGCTGAAGGGGAATAGACATTTTTGCCTCCCCTCTTGGAACCTAAATGAAGTGGGGTAGGCAGAGGGGCCTATGATTGACTTTTTGTCTTTATCAAGGTATAATTTACAAATACAAATTGTATGTATTTATGGTGCACAATGTGATGTTTAGATATATATATTCATTGTGAAATGGTTAAATGCTTATCAGTCAAGCTAGTTAATGTAGCCAACACCTCACAAAGTTTGTTTTTTTTGTGATGAGAATATTCAAGATCTCTGATAGCAATTTTCAAGTATAAAATACATTATTATTAACTATAGGCACCTTGAAGTACAAGTTCTCCAGAACTTACTCATACTGTCTAACTGAAACTTTGTACCATTTGACCAACAGCTTTTTGTCCATTTCCTTTTCCAATTCCCTCAGCCTCTGGTAATCAACCTTTGACTGACTGCTTCTATGAGTTAGAAGTTTTTTAGATTCCACATATAAGTGAGACCATGTAGTATTTATATTTATATGCACAGCTTATTTCAGTTAGCATAATATCCTCTAGGTTCATCCTGAGTTGGAGGATTTCCCTGTTTTCTAAGGATGAGTACTATTTCATTGTATGTATGTATGGGTCACATTTTCTTTATCCATTCATCTCTCCATGGACACTTAGATTGATTCTGTATCCTGGCTATTGTGAGTAGTGCTGTACTGAATATGGGAGGGCAGAGATCTCTTGGACATACTGATGTCATTTCTGTTGGATATGTACCCAGAAGGGGGATTGCTGGATCATAGGGTAGTTCATTGTAGTATTTTTTGAAGCTCCATATTGTTTTCTAGGATGCCGGTACCAATTTGCTTGCCACCAACAGTATACAAAGGGTATTTTTCCTTACACACTCTCCAATACTTGTTATATTTTGTCTTTTTGTTCAAAACTATTCTCACTGGTATGAGGTGATATCTCATTGTCATTTTAACTTGCGTTTCCCAGATGATTAGTGAAGTTGAACTTTTTTTTATCTATCTGTTGGCCATTTGTATGTCTTCTTTTGAGAAATGTCTATTTAGGTCCTTTTGCCATTTAAAAAATCAGGTTACTTGTTTCTTGCTATTGGTTTGAATTCCTTATATATTTTGGATGTTAGCCCCTTACAGATGTATGGTATATAAATATATTCCCCCATTCTGTAGGTTGTTCTTTCATTCTGTCAGATGTTTCCTCTGCTGTGCAGAAGCATTTTAGTATGACACAATTCCATTTGCCCATTTTTGCTTTTATTGCCTGTGCTTTAGAGATCGTAGCCAAGCATCATGGTCCAGACTAATGTTAATAAGTTTTTGCCTATGTTTCCTTCTAATAGTTTTACAATTTTGGATCTGGATTTTAAGTGATTAATTTATTTCGAATTGACTTTGTATATAATGTGAGATACAGGTCCAATTTTATTCTTTTGCATGTGACTATCTAGTTTTTTCAAAATCAATTACTGAAGAGGCTGTCCTTCCACCATTGTCTGTCCTTGGCACTGTTGTTGATCAGTTGATTGTAATTGCATGGATTAATTTCTAAGATCTCTATTGTGTTTCATTGGTCTGTATGTCTATTTTTATGCTGGTACCATTCTGTTTTAATTTCTACAAGTTCGTGGTATGCTTTGTTCTTTATGCTCAAGATTGTTTTGACCAGTCAGTGTCTTTTGTGGTTCCATATGTATTTTATGATTGCTTTTTCTACTTCTATGAAAAATACCATTGTAATTTTGAGAGGGATGGCATTGAAGTTGTAGATCACTTGTAGCATGGACATTTTAGCAATATTAACTTTTTCAATTCTTAAACATGAGACGTCTTCCCATTTATTTGTGTCGTCTTAAATTTCTTTCATCAGTGTTTTATAGTTTCAGTGTACACATCTTTCAGCTCAGTTAAATGCATTTCTAAGTGTTTTTTTAATGCTATTGTAAATGGGATTGTTTGATTGATTTTGGGGGGATAGTTCTTTGTTAGTGTATAGAAATTTTACTGATTTTTGTGTGCTAATTATGTGTCTTGCAGCATTACTGAATTTGTTTATTAGTTCCAACAGTGTTTTGGTGGAGTCTTTAGGATTTTCTATATCTAAAATTATGTCACCTGCAAGCAGAGATAATTTTACTTATTCCTTTTCAATTTTTATGCCTTTTATTTCCTTTTCTTGCCAAATTGCCCTTGTTAGGACTTCCAGTACTATACTGAATAGGAGTAGTGAGAGAGGGCATCCTTGCCTTCTTCCTGATCTAAGAGGAAAATCTTTCACTTTTTTACCACTGAATATAATGTTAGTTGTGGGATTGACATAAATGGCCTTTTAAATATTATATATGACCTTTTTAATATTAAGATAGTTTTCTTCTACATCTAATTGGTTGACTGGTTCTATCATGAAAGCATGTTGAATTTTGTCAAATGCTTTTTCTGCATCTATTGAGACAGTCATATGATTTTCATCCTTCATTCTATTAAGATGGTGTATAACATTTATTGATTTGTATATGATGAACCATCTTTGTATCTCAGGGACAAATTCCACTTGATCTCAGTGTTTGACTGTTTCAATGTGCTGTTAAATTCACTTTGTTTGTATTTTGTGAGAATTTTTGTATCTGTTAATCAAGGATATTGGCCTATAGTTTTTTTTTTTTTTTTTATAGCTTCCTCATCTGGCTTTGCTATCAGATCAACACTGGCCTCGTAAAATGAATTTGGAAGCATTCACTCCTCTTCAATTTTTTTGTATGTGATTGATATTTAAATCACATTTCTAATATTTGGTGAGGACAGAGTATTACAGTGGTGTTGGCTTCTCTTTGTAAATTTTCCCTCTTTAGGGCATTCCAGTGCTTCTATATTCAAAGTAAAATGTGCACTAATGTGAAAAATAGAGGAAATTCTATTTTTAAAACTGAGGGTCATTTTAAGGGTGATGTAGTAGGTCGAATGGTGACCTCCAAAAAGATATTGGCATGTCTTGACCATAGGAACCCACGAATATGATCTTGTTTTGAAAGACAATGTTGGCAAATGTCACTAAGTTAAAGATCTCAAAATGAGATTACCCTAGTTTATCTGAGTAAACCATAAATCCAATGACAAGTGTGCTTATAAGACACACAAGAGAGGACACACAAAGAAGAAGGTCATGTGAAGACAGAACCACTGACTGGTGTGATGCAGCCATGAGCCAAGGAAAGCCTGGAGTCACCAGGAGCTGGCAGCAGCAAGGTAGGATCCTCCCCTAGAGAGTTTGGAAGGAGGCTGGTATTGCTGACACCTTGATTTCAGACTTATGACCTCCAGAAGTGTGAGAGAATACATTTCTGTTATCACCAAGTTTGTGGTAATTTGTTCCAGCAGCCCCAGGAAACTAGTCCAGATGACTAGAGGATTCATATCAGAAAGACAAAGTGACAAAGTTCATGGGCTTTGGTGATTACAAGACCTGGTTAAGGTTCAGGCATTTTTACTCCTTTGCTTCTATGGCCTTAGGCTAAGATATCCTCTCCGACATCTGATTGGCCAGTGAATTGACAATTCATTAATTGGTTCCTCAACAAGCTTATAATTACATCTTTGTGTGCTCTAGTCACAGTGGTAGGCATTGTGGTAAGTAGATGCACTTCCTAACATTATACAATTTTACAGGTAATGCAAAGAGACCAGTATTACAGTATGTTTGTTAAATGTTCTTTAATCTGACTATAAATATTGCAACTGGAGAACATGCTAATTGGAGAACATTTAAAAAATATAGGCAAAAATAATAGAATAGATTGGGCGCCACGGCTCACGCCTGTAATCCCAGTATTTTGGGAGGCTGAGATGGGTGGATCACCTGAGGTCAGGAGTTCAAGACCAGCCTGGCCAACATGATGAAGCCCCGTCTCTACTAAAAATACAAAAATTAGCCAGGTGTGATGGCACAGGCCTGTAATCCCAGCTACTTGGGAGGCTGAGGCAGAAGAATTGCTTGAGCCCAAAAGGCAAAGGTTGCAGTGAGCCGAGATTGCACCACTGCACTCTAGTCTGGATGACAGAGCAAGATTTCCATCTCAAAAAACAAAAAACAGAACAATAAAATAACCCATTAGCCCAGAATCAAAGTTTAATCACAGTTAATATTTTAATGGATTTCTTTCAATCCATTTTATAAATATTCTTATAACTACAATAGTATATATTACTTTAACATTAGATTAAATGAAATGTTACTTTAAAATATCATTATAATGCCTTTATAAGTCCTTTATAGAGAATACTGTTCTCTAATTTTGTAGCATTTAGGTTTCATCCCAATTTCTCCTATGCACAAAAATATAGGTTTGGGTACTGGATTTTGTTCTAGGAACCCAGAATGGGACCCTGATCCAGTCTAGATGGCTTTCCAGGGAAGGACTGAATGTGATAGGAAGAGTGAGGCCCCCTCCCAGGGCCATTCTAAGTATTCAAGGAGATAATGCAGGTGAAAAATTATTGGTCAGTTGTTAGGAAAATTTTTCTCTATTGATCTTTTTTTATCTATTAGCTTTGATTTCCAGTAAATACAAATTAAAGTAAAAAAGAAAAGCACAAAGAAGAAAATCAAATTGCCTAGAGTTTTATTTCTGTCAGTTAATAACTGTTAATATTTTAGGGTATAAAGTTTCATCATTTTCTATGTGTATGTAGTGTGTATATTTTTTTCTATTTGTTTTTTTTAAAAAAGGTCATGTGTACATACTTTGTGTTAATGTATGTATTTTCTTCATATCAAAACTATTCTGAGACAGTATTTCAATGACTACATAGAAGGCATTTTATCATAGGACTGGAAAACAATTTATTTGATCTTAATAATTTTTCCAAATTGTGATGCTTATGTTTATGGCATGACTATGCTGTTTTTGGAATTTTAGTTCCTTCTAGTGTTGCACTGTTGCCAACGTTTGCCTATATCATTGATTATTAACTCGGTATTAATTCCCATAATGGAGTGGCTGGATTGAGCCTCTGGAAATTTTCCTTGTTTTTGATAAATTGTGCCAAATTTTCCTTTGGAAAATTGTGTGGACTTGAACTTCTACATGTAGTGGGCTGGAAAACCCCCACCTAGATGACTGGTCTGAATTTCATAAGAATGAATATGTGTTGCTGGACTCAAGTAATAAAATTGCACTGTTTGGTATTTATTTTTAATGAGTAGATTTTGGCTGATTTTGACACACACAAAAAATGAGTAACTAGATTGGGAGGTTCCAAGATGGCCAAATAGGAATAGCTCAAGTCTACAGCTCCCAGTGTGAGTGACGCAGAAGACAGGTGATTTCTGCATTTCCAACTGAGGTACCGGGTTCATCTCACTGGGGCTTGTCGGACGGTGGGTGCAGGAGAGTGGATGCAGCCAACTGAGTGTCAGCCGAAGAAGGGCAAGGCATTGCCTCATCCAGGAGGTACAAGGGGTCAAGGAATTCCCTTTCCTAGCTAAGTGAAGCTGTGACAGATGGCACCTGGAAAATCAGGTCACTCCCACACTAATACTGCGCTTTTCCAATGGTCTTAGCAAGTGGCACACCAGGAAATTATATCCCGTGCCTGGCTCAGAGGGTCCCACACCCACGGAGCCTCACTCATTGCCAGCACAGCAGTCTGAGATCGAACTGCAAGGCGGCAGCAAGCCTGATGGAGGGGCACCCACCATTGCTGAGGCTTGAGTAGGTAAACAAAGCTGCCAGGAAGCTCGAACTGGGTGGAGCCCACTGCAGCTCAAGGAGGCCTGCCTGCGTCTGTAGGCTCCACCTCTGGGGGCAGGGCATAGCCAAACAAAAGGCAGCAGAAACCTCTGCAGACTTAAATGTCCCTGTCTGACAGCTTTGAAGACAGTAGTGGTTCTCCCAGCATGGAGGTTGAGACCTGAGAACGGACAGACTGCCTCCTCAAGTGGGTCCCTGATCCTTGAGTAGCCTAACTGGGAGGCACCCCCCAGTAGGGGCAGACTGACACCTCACATGGCCAGGTACCCCTCTGAGACGAAGCTTTCAGAGGAATGATCAGGCAGCAACATTTGCTGTTCAGCAATATTCGCTGTTCTGCAGCCTCTGCTGCTAATACCCAGGCAAAAGGGTCTGGAGTGGACCTCCGGCAAACTCCAACAGACCTGCAGCTGAGGGTCCTGAATGTTAGAAGGAAAACTAATAAACAGAAAGGACATCTACACCAAAACCCCATCTGTACGTCACCATCTTCAAAGACCAAAGGCAGATAAAACCACAAAAGTGGGGAAAAAACAGAGCAGAAAAGCTGAAAATTCTAAAAATCAGAGTGCCTCTCCCCCTCCAAAGGAACGCGACTCATTGCCAGCAACGGAACAAAGATGGACAGAGAATGACTTTGACGCGCTGAGAGAAGAAGGCTTCAGACGATTAAACTTCTCCAAGCTAAAGAAGGAAGTTCGAACCCACTGCAAAGAAGCTAAAAACCTTGAAAAAAGATTAGAAGAATGGCTAACTAGAATAACCAGTGTAGAGAAGTCCTTAAATGACCTGATGGAGCTGAAAACCATGACACGAGAACTATGTGATGAATGCACAAGCTTCAGTAGGCAATTCGATCAACTGGAAGAAAGGGTATCAGTGATTGAAGATCAAATGAATGAAAAGAAGTGAGAAGAGAAGTTTAGAGAAAAAAGAGTAAAAAGAAATGCAAAAAGCCTCCAAGAAATACGAGACTATGTGAAAAGACCAAATCTACGTCTGATTGGTTTACCTGAAAGTGATGCGGAGAATGGAACCAAGTTGGAAAACACTCGGCAGGATATTATCCAGGAGAACTTCCCCAACCTAGCAAGGCAGGCCAACATTCAAATTCAGGAAATACAGAGAATGCCACAAAGATACTCATCAAGAAGAGCAACTTCAAGACACATAATTGTCAGATTCACCAAAGTTGAAATGAAGGAAAAAATGTTAAGGGCAGCCAGAAAGAAAGGTCGGGTTACCCACAAAGGGAAGCCCATCAGACTAACAGCGGATCTCTCAGCAGAAACTCTACAAGCCAGAAGAGAGTGGGGGCCAATATTTAACATTCTTAAAGAAACGAATTTTCAACCCAGAATTTCATATCCAGCCAAACTAAGCTTCATAAATGAAGGAGAAGGAGAAATAAAATCCTTTACAGACAAGCAAATGCTGAGAGATTTTGTCACCACCAGGCCTGCCTTACAAGAGCTCCTGAAGGAAGTACTAAATATGGAAAGGAACAACCAGTACCAGCCACTGCAAAAACGTGCTAAATTGTAAAGACCATCGATGCTAGGAAGAAACTGCATCAACTAATGAGCAAAATAACCAGCTAACATCATAATGACAGGATCAAATTCACACCTAACAATATTAACCTTAAATGTAAATGGGCTAAATGCTCCAATTAAAAGACACAGACTGGCAAATTGGATAAAGAATCAAAACCCATCAGTGTGCTGTATTCAGGAGACCCATCTCAAGTGCAGAGACACACATAGGCTCAAAATAAAGGGGTGGAGAAAGATCTACCAAGAAAATGGAAAACAAAAAAAGGCAGGGGTTGCAATCCTAGTCTCTAATAAAACAGACTTTAAACCAACAAAGATCAAAAGAGACAAAGAAGGCCATTACATAATGGTAAAGGGATCAATTCAACAAGAAGAGCTAACCATCCTAAATATATATGCACCCAATACAGGAGCACCCAGATTCATAAAGCAAGTCCTTAGAGACCTACAAAGAGACTTAGACTCCCACACAATAATAATGGGAGAATTTAACACCCTACTGTCAACATGAGACAGATGAATGAGACAGAAAGTTAACAAGGATATCCAGGAATTGAACTCAGCTCTGCACCAAGCAGACCTAATAGACATCTACGGAACTCTCCACCCCAAATCAACAGAATATACATTCTTCTCAGCACCACATTGCACTTATTCCAAAATTGACCACATAGTTGGAAGTAAAGCACTCCTCAGCAAAAGTAAAAGAACAGAAATTATAACAAAGTGTCTCTCAGACCACAGTGCAATCAAACTAGAACTCAGGATTAAGAAACTCACTCAAAACTGCTCCACTACATGGAAACTGAACAACCTGCTCCTGAATGACTACTGGTTACATAATGAAATGAAGGCAGAAAAAAAGATGTTCTTTGAAACCAATGAGAACAAACACACAACATACCAGAATCTCTGGGACACATTTAAAGCAGTGTGTAGAGGGAAATTTATAGCACTCAATGCCCACAAGAGAAAGCAGGAAAGATCTAAAACTGACACCCTAACATCACAATTGAAAGAACTAGAGAAGCAAGAGCAAACACATTCAAAAGCTAGCAGAAGGCAAGAAATAACTAAGATCAGAGTAGAACTGAAGGAGATAGAGACACAAAAAAACCCTTCAAAAAATCAATGAATCCAGGAGCTGGTTTTTTGAAAGATCAACAAAATTGATAGACTGCTAGCAAGACTGATAAAGAAGAAAAGAGAGAAGAATCAAATAGACGCAATAAAAAATGATAAAGGGGATATCACCACCGATTCCACAGAAATACAAACTACCATCAGAGAATACTATAAACACCTCTACGCAAATAAAGTAGAAAATCTAGAAGAAATGGATAAATTCCTGGGCACATACACCCTCCCAAGACTAAACCAGGAAGAAGTTGAATCTCTGAATAGACCAATAACAGGCTCTGAAATTGAGGCAATAATTAATTGCTTACCAACCAAAAAAAGTTCAGGACCAGATGTATTCACAGCCAAATTCTACCAGAGGTACAACGAGGAGCTGGTAACATTCCTTCTGAAACTATTCCAATTAACAGAAAAAGAGGGAATTCTCCCTAACTCATTTTATGAGGCCAGCATCGTTCTGAGACCAAAGCCTGGCAGAGACACAACAAAAAAAGAGAATTTTAGATCAATATCCCTGATGAACATTGATGCAAAAATCCTCAATAAAATACTGGCAAACCAAATCCAGCAGCACATCAAAAAGCTTATCCACCATGATCAAGTGGGCTTCATCCCTGGGATGCAAGGCTGATTCAACATACGCAAATCAAGAAACATAATCCAGCATATAAACAGAATGAAAGACAAAACCCACATGATTATCTCAATAGATGCAAAAAGGCCTTTGACAAAATTCAACAGCCCTTCATGCTAAAAACTCTCAATAAATTAGGTACTGAAGGGACGTATCTCAAAATAATAAGAGCTATTTATGACAAACCCACAGCCAATATCATACTGAATGGGCAAAAACTGGAAGCATTCCCTTTGAAAACGGGCACAAGACAGAGATGCCCTCTCTCACCACCCCTACTGAACATAGTGTTGGAAGTTCTGACCAGGGCAATCAGGCAGGAGAAAGAAATAAAGGGTATTCAATTAGGAAAAGAAGAAGTCAAATTGTTGCTGTTTGCAGATGACATGATTGTATATTTAGAAAACCCCATTGTCTCAGCCCGAAATCTCCTTAAGCTGATAAGCAACTTCAGCAAAGTCTCAGGATACAAAATCAATGTGCAAAAATCACAAACATTCTTATACACCAATAAGAGAAAAACGGAGAGGCAAATCATGAGTGAACTGCCATTCACAATTGCTTCGAAGAGAATAAAATACCTAGGAATCCAACTTACAAGGGATGTGAAGGACCTCTTCAGGGAGAACTACAAACCACTGCTCAACAAAATAAAAGAGGACACAAACAAATGGAAGAACATTCCATGCTCATGGATAGGAAGAATCAATATCATGAAAATGGCCATACTGCCCAGGGTAATTTATAGATTCAATGCCATCCCCATCAAGCTACCAATGACTTTCTTCACAGAATTGGAAAAAACTACTTTAAAGTTCATATGGAACCAAAAAAGAACCCACATTGCCAAGACAATCCTAAGCCAAAAGAACAAAGCTGGAGGCATCTCACTACCTGACTTCAAACTCTACTACAAGGCTACAGTAACCAAAACAGCACGATACTGGTACCAAAACAGAGATATAGACCAATGGAACACAACAGAGCACTCAGAAAGAATACCACACATCTACAACCATCTGATCTTTGACAAACCTGACAAAAGCAAGAAATGGGGAAAGGATTCCCTGTTTAATAAATGGTGCTGGGAAAACTGGCTAGCCACATGTAGAAAGCTGAAACTGGATCCTTCCTTACACCTTATACAAAAATCAATTCAAGATGGATTAAAGCCTTAAATGTTAGACCTAAAACCATAAAAACCCTAGAAGAAAACCTAGGCAATACCATTCAGGACATAGGCATGGGCAAGGACTTCCTGTCTAAAACACCAAAAGCAATGGCAACAAAAGCCAAAATTGACAAATGAGATCTAATTAAACTAAAGAGCTTCTGCACAGCAGAAGAAACAACCATCAGAGTGAACAGGCAACCTACAGAATGGGAGAAAAATTTTGCAATCTACTCATCTGACAAAGGGCTAATATCCAGAATCTACAATGAACTCAAACAAATTTAGAAGAAGAAAAACAACGCCATCAACAAGTGGGCAAAGGATATGAACAGACACTTCTCAAAAGAAGACATTTATGCCACCAACAGACACATGAAAAAATGCTCATCATCACTGGCCATCAGAAAAATGCAAATCAAAACCACAATGAGATACCATCTCCCACCAGTTAGAATGGTGATCATTAAAAAGTCAGGAAACAACAGGTGCTGGAGAGGATGTGGAGAAATAGGAACACTTTTACCCTGTTTTACAGGTGGCACTGTAAACTAGTTCAACCATTGTGGAAGACAGTGTGGCGATTCTTCAAGGACCTAGAACTAGAAATACCATTTGACCCAGCCATCCCATTACTGGGTATATACCCAAAAGATTATAAATCATGCTGCTATAAAGACACATGCACACGTATGTTTATTGCGGCACTATTCACAATAGCAAAGACTTGGAACCAACCCAAATGTCCAAAAATGATAGACTGGATTAAGAAAATGTGGCACATATACACCATGGAATACTATGCAGCCATAAAAAAGGATGAATTCATATCCTTTGTAGGGACATGGATGAAGCTGGAAACCATCATTCTCAGCAAACTATCGCAAGGACAAAAAAACCAAACACCACATGTTCTCACTCATAGGTGGGAATTGAACAATGAGAACACTTGAGCACAGGAAGGGGAACATCACACACTGGGGCCTGTTGTGGGGTGGGGAGAGGGGGGAGGGATAGCATTAGGAAATATACCTAATGTAAATGACAAGTTAATGTGTGTAGCACACCAACATGGCACATGTAACAAACCTGCACGTTGTGCACATGCACCCTAGGACTTAAAGTATAATAATAAAAAAGAGTAACTATGTGAAGTGATGAATATATTAATTTGCTTCAGTATGATAACCTTTTTTACCATCTATATGTATCCCATAACATCATATTGTATACTGTAAATGTACACAATTTAAAAAAAGTTTTACTAATTTTCAAAGCACTCAAAGTTCATTTTTTTCTCTTAAATGCTTATGTTAGAGTTCAGGTTTGTGGCTATTTTTGTCATGCTAATGGAAATTAGTGGTGAAAAATCTTATCAAGGGAAATTGCACCAGAAATGAGTCAATTAAATTCTATTTTATAAACATTCATTGAACATCAATCATGAGGATAAGAGTTTATTTGAATCTAGTACTATGAAAAGATGAATGTGATGTCATCCTTTTAAAAAGTACACAGTGTTACAGAGGAATAAAACCTACAAATGCCTATGAATAAATATATATACATATGAGAGGGAAGAATGTAATATATACTGTCATACAGACTCAAGCAGAAAGGAAGATAAGATCATGTTTTCTTGGAAGGTATGGCAAAGAGATTGCCCTCTGAGGCTAGGCAGGATTTTAAGAGATGGAGATTATAAGGCCATAGGAACAGCATGAAGAAAGCACATAAGGTCAGAAAGGCTAAGAATATTTAGGCAATGGTGAGCATTCTAGTCTGGTTGAAGCCTAGGAAGTATGTGAAGGGTTTTGATCATCATGCTAAGAACTTGGAAGCTTATTCCAATAGCAAAAGTACTACTTGGATATTCTTGACATGTTTTTTCTCCTGCCATTTAAGGCTGGTGACTATTTTCAATGGGTAGGATTTATCAGTTAAGAGGGAGGTAGCAGAACAAAAGAGGAAGAAGAGGAATAAAATCTTTCCCATGAAATGCAACTTGAACATAACAGTTGAAGGACAATGAGAGCAAAAAAAAAAAAAAAAAAGTCATTTTTCTGTCTCATTGGCTTGCCATGTTTAGAGGATTTCTTGAGGGTTTCTTGGCAATAAGGATATTGAGTACCTACTATGTGCTAGATGCTTTCCTAAGCTTTCCTTGAACAATTTAGGTAGATATTTTAAACCAGTTTATGAAAAAGGAAGTCAAAGTCTATTAAGTTCATGTCCCTTGTTCTGGATCACACAAAGGGCTGGGAATAAAATTTAAATCAGTTGCTTCCAGATCCCATGCTCTTACTACTGCCCTGTATTGAATATGTGACCTTCTGGGAGCAGGACTTTCTGCGTTCTTTTATTATTCTTATAGCTTCTATCTCTGAATCCTAAGACATGTTGAGCTTGGGTTGGAATATGCAATGAATGCATATTAATAATTTTCCAAATTGTGGTGCTTATGTTTATGGCACGACTATCCTGTTTTTGGAATTTTACTTGCTTCCAGTTTTCCAGTCTTAAGAACAGCAGTGTCATGAACTGTTGCACTGTTGCCAATCTTTTCCTATATCATTGATTATTTATTCAGTATTAATTCCTATAATGGAATGGTAACTCAGAATTACCTGTTTTGCACTTTATTTTCTTCAGATTCTGCCAAATCATCATCTTAGAACTAGACAGAACTTTGGCGGTCACCTGGTTTGTTGTTCACCCTTCTGAAATCCCAATATAGCATCTCTGATAGATATTGTCTGACTCAAGACTTGACTGCAGTAGAAGGGGTTGTGTTTTACTCAAATGACTCATTTAATATAGCTGAGAAGTGGAATGACAGAGGGAAAGCCATGTTTGCTTCTAGAGAGGTTAAACATTGAACAGAAAAAGTAATGTATAGATGCTGCCAGAGATAAGTCCAGTAGTCTGCTGTGTTGTTCCCAGCCTTACTCATCGTTCACAGCTTAGGAACTCCTCTGCAAAGGAGACAGAAGCAATGTGTTCCTGACTTATAACTGTGATGAGTTAACCTACTTTTGTAATATATTTATAATCCTTTTGAGCTCCTTGGAGGAAAGATGCAATATGAATATAAAATAATAACAAGGCTAGCCTTCAAGTACTTCCTGAATGCTCAGGTGTAGTTTGAGGCTTAATGAATTTGGGTTAGTAAAATATTCTGAGATCCCAGCTGAAGGGAGCTAGAGAGCACAAATGGTTATTAATTATTGTTATTATTGACTCTTGCCCAGAGCATGGAGATGGATGGCCTCTGCCATGCTTTATCCCCAGGAGTGTAGCTGCAGATGCCAGTCCAGTGTGCCATAAATGTCTAATCTTTTAGAAGGATTAACTCTACTTTGGATTAAAAAAATAATGATTTCCCATAATCTATTCTGAATGAGATGCTTTTTTCTCCTCCTATTTCATCTGGTGACTTTCGATACCTATAATTGAAACAAACTGCACTGAAACCCTGGCTGGACCCTTCATGTTTTATATTAAGAAGCAGTGTGAAGACCGTCTACTTGAATTAATCTCACCTGCATAACATGAGGAGAGGAAACAAATGAAATGTAGTTTTACATGTAACCTTGGCATATTTCACCTACTTTGTGTCTTGTAGTCATGTTCTTGCCACCCAGAATGTCCAAACTGGGTCTATACACAGTCAACATAGATCAGATTTTTTTTTCAATCATTTTGCTTTACATGATCTTAATCATTCCAACAAAAGCTTCATCAGCCAAGCAAAGTATGTCTCATTATGTCAGATGAAGGATGACAAGGTTCATAAATTTGGAAAGGAGAGCTGTATTTCTCATAAAGAGTTACTGTCTGCAGGGGGGCCATTCTGACAGGCTGGGAAACATAGCCTCCAGTCAGAAGCCAGAAACAGACACTTCAAGGGAGAAGAAAAGGGAACAAAAATTATGCTGAGAGGGGTGGCTGAATATACGTATTTATAAGCTAGAGGAGGAGTCATGAATATGTATAAAAGGAGAAACATGTATATGCTCAACTGAGCTGCATGCCTCTCCATGGGGCCCATGTTCAAAATATGGCGGCATTGGCATGATCTGAGGGTGCAGTTTTCAGTCCTCTGACATAAAAATGTGAAGCAGAGAACATGAAAACCCTCACTGTACATCCTCTGTAGACTGGCCAGAACCACTTCATGGTTGATGGTCTCTTATCAGCAAGGAATGCTAGTTGGTAGTTGGGCTGAAACTGCAAAAGAGAGGGGCAGTTTAAGGTGGTTGGTGTCAGGGGTTTGGTTGATATCGATGGTGGAGCCAGTCTTTCCAAAGGTCTGGTTTATTTAACCCCTAGGAAAAAATGCCTAATGGCAGTTAGCGAGGGAGGAGGTATAATGAGGCTTGTCTGACCTCCCATCCCATCATGGCCAGGAACTCATATTCTGAGGTTTCTCTGCAGTTCCTCTTGACCAAGAGGGTGTCCCTTCAGTCCATTAGGGAGCTTAAAATTTTATTTTTATTTTTCATTCAGTTTCAGGCTTGCTCCAAGGAGGCAGGGGGAAAAGTTGATGATTACTTAACTCTGCCCCAATCACTGTCTATTGTCATTGCCTGAGAAACACAATGGAAAGATTTGGGTAGATGAAATGGTTCAAGCACATTTCCAAAGTGATTACAGAAAAGTTTCATTGGTTTTTGAGACACAAACATTTAGCTGTTAAAATAAACAAACTTCTGCATCCCTACAATTATTGCTTACCAATGCAGATGCAGCTTAAATGAATCCCAGCTCATCTTGAATACTGTTATGATCTCCTCAAATGAAGCTTCTTGCTATTTTAGCCAGGGAGGGAGCAGTCAGTATTCAGCTGAATGATCTTGTGACAATATCCTCCCTGTTTTCCAGTTCAAGTTTGAAGGACATTTCCAATCAGGTTAATGAAGACCTGCTGCTTTAGTGCTGAAATAGGTTTGTTTACATCTCTCCTCTTATCTATCCGTGAAGAGCCATTCTTTTTCATCTGCCAGCCAATCACAGCCTGCCAGTGCAACATCTGGCTTGAGCAGCTGCTGAAAGAGGAAGTATACTTTCTCTCCCCTCAAGCAAGTAACAAGTGTGTGTAATTGAGAACCTGTAATTGCAAGAAGGCACAGACTTTGGGAGAAACCATGAGGGGAAGGCTGATAGAGGAGATGAATGAAGCAAGGCAGGTTTTGTACACTTTGGAGGGAGTGTGAGGTGGAAAGAACTGCACAGAGGAGGGCAGCGAATCATTTTTATTTGTGCACCAGCAGAGAGGAGTTATTGTAACATGTGTTCATAATGTCCTGGGCCACTTTTTAATCAGATGAACATAAAGAAAAAACAGATAAACCTTAATATTTTCCCAAATTGAAAATGCAAGGGATCAGTTATGAATCTGAGTGGTTTTTGATTATGTGACTAAGACCCTCTTGAGCCCAAAGGTATTCTTTAAGGAAGCATGTGTTAAAATAGAAACAGGCTGGCTTCTTCCACGTTTCGGTGCATTTAGTTCGCCTAAGCTTGAGTACTCTCTCACCCTTGGCACACTGAAATACTACTGCCTGAGTAGGAAATGCATTTAAAAGAGAGCCTATTATCAATTGATTCCATGTCTTATCAAGAAATTCCAAAGCATCTCTTTCCTCTATTGGGGTCTGTTTCCTTCCAAATCTGCAGCTGTATTGTTCGACTGAGATGAATTCTAGAGAACTGCTATGAGAACTTTTTCAAAACTTTACATCAGGCCAGATCAGAATCACTGGAGGTGACTGAAAAACACTTGAAATAGTTTCCCGGATTGTTCCACTCTGTTTTACCTTTTCTACATGCCCCACTTTACTTAGAATACTTCACTGTATTTAAGAGTTCCCACTTGCTAGTGCTTTGTAAAGATTTTGGAAAACTATCTTTGAACCTTAGTCATCTTTGAGAACTCCTTGCAGAGAGAAGAGCAGAGCACATCCAGCCAAACAAAGCAGCATCTCAATCCCTGAACAGTCTAAATGCCACCAGAACAGGCGGGAATAGAAGATCTGCTAAGCCGTCGCTACTTCAAGTGTGGTCTGTGGGCCAGTATCACTGGCATTACCTGGAGTTTGTTAGAAATGCACAATCTCAGGCCTCGTGCCAAACCTGTGAAATTCAAATCTGCATTTTACCAGAATCTTCAGTGATCTTCGTGCAAAGTTTGAAGAGTGCTGCTCAAAGCCACATCTGAATAAAGAAAAGACTTTAAGAGCCAATACCAGCAGAGTTCCACCCATGATTTTTCACTGCTTATATATGAACAACTATACTTATTTTAATACATGTGCAGGATCAAACAAATCCTTTCTGTCAAGGGCTTATAGTAAATATTTTAAGTTTTGCAGCTACACAGTCTCTGATGAAACTTTAACTCTGCTGTTATAGTACAGAAGCAGCCACAGACAATAACTAAAAAAATGGGTATGGCTATGTTACAATAAAACTGTATTTATGTACACTGAATTTTAAATTTTACATAATTTTCATATGACGCAAAATATACATCTGATTTCTGCTCACCCTTGTAAAAATGTAAAAATTATTCTCAGCTCATGGGCTATACAAAAGCAGATGATGGGTCAGATGTGGCCTGTGGACCGTAGTTTGCAAACTCCTAAAACATATTGAGATGTGTTTAATTTTTATTCTGTGTTGCAGAGGTATTCATTCAAAATTTATTCTTATTCTGATCCAGGTGGCCTGCAGAAATACCCTTGACAAATCCTGGTCCAAAGGTTTAAACTTTGAAATCACACCCAAAGCTCTTCACAAACCTTGACCACATCTCTCCTTTCCTTCTCCTCCTCTTTTTAAACCCAATACATTAGACACTCAGAAAGGCAGGATTGCAGAGCAGCTAAGAGGCTGAGCATTGGCATCACCTGTATCTGGGTTGACACTTAGGTTCTTCTGTTTACGATGTGAACCTTAGTCACGATACTTAACCTCTGCACAGCTTAGTCTCCTCATCATTAATTTGGAGATAATTATATAATGGCTGGCTGACAGTTTTGTGCTATTTGTAAAATAACGATCAAGTATGCAGGGTTCTTAGCACAATGTTTGGCACATGACAAATTCTCTATAAGGCTTCATGATTCCTGATCCATGCTGTGAATATTTAGCTCTCGATTTCTTGGCTTACGATCCTTTTGCCCAGTTTACCTTTCCCTCGTTTGTCCCTTCTATTTCCATATTCTTCTAGGTTCAGGATATAAGTCCCTCCTCTTCTAAAATCTTTCCTAACTCATCCCACTGTGCCAATCCCTACTTAGGCAAAAGTAATGATTCCATGCTTTTGCTTTGTGAATCACATCACTACATTTGCTGTCACATTTTAGCATGGTCATGTGTATATTTGCCTCACTGGCTGGACGTTGGGATCTGTCTGATTTGGTTTTAAAACCCAGGCACCTGGGCACAGTCCATTTCCCAGAGCAGGCAAGCAACAGCTGCATGAATTAAAGAGATACATGCAGTAGTTGTCATGAGTAAAGAACTTGAGAATTGTGATGAAATTACCTTTATTATAGTACAGACTTTTTATTATAATTTTAATTTCTCAACCTCATTGCTATAAGTGAGATATTGACCAATACAGTGAATCTCCATGTGTCTTTTGGAGCTCAAATCCTCCCTCTCTCTTTTTATGTCTCCCTGCTTATGGACACTTGGGTCTCAGCTGTGCCCATCTACATGCATTTGCCCTACTCCTGCCTATGCACTTTTATTCGACTTGGACCTCTGTACATGGATTCCTGATGAGTGGCCGAGTTCCCAGCTTGAGTCTTGGATGCCAACCCTGCATGTGTAGCTTTCCAGCTTCTCCTCTTTCTGTAACCCGCTGGATGCTTATCCTCTTTTCATTTCAGCCCATAGGTGTCCAACGGTGCCGCACGCTCCTTGCTATAAAACTGGCCAGGATCTGTAGCTGCCCAATATTCTCAGGTTCTAACCATCCTGCCAGCCCTTGGGCTTGCCAGCTCTTTTTGGTTTCAGTCTTTCCTGACCTTCCAGAACTGTCACCGGAGAGCATTTTATAATCAGGAATAAAGGGATGGCAAAGTCAGGTCACAAGGAGATGGCCACAGGGTGCAGCGTTCATCCAGAAACAAGCTCAGTCCGCATGAAAACTTCTCTCTTCCTATTGTAACTCTTTGCTTGAAAAAGGAGCTTCATCCTCCAAGGGCAGCTGCACCCCAGCCCATGGAAGATGAAGTGAAGCCCTAATCCTGTGTTGCTAAAAGTGCTGTGGACTCCTTGCCAATGTGCAGAACGATGGTGAAAATAGTAATTAATAAGTGATGGGGTATTATTGACTCATCAGGAACACCTTTGTAGTAGGCTGGATCAATGCATAATATGGGTCTCATAAAGATGCTTCTTAGAAATGCAGATACTTCTGGTAATGAAACGAGCTAAAAATTTGAAAAGGCCCCCTGACTTTTTTTTTTTTAAAGGAAAGTAGCTTCAATCTAAAGGAGAATGAAAGCTCATTTGGCAAGGAGGCCGAGACCAGTGCCAGACAGCAAGCTTAATGCATTTAGTTTGCCCCTAAATCCCATCTATTAAGGAATCAACTGCATGATTAATATTATTTTTCTTTCAGTTGTCCAACAACGCTGCACTGAATGTTGAATATTGAATTCATATTTTCTCTAAGCAGCCGAACATATTTATTTGGAATTAAGTCTCTGAGTTGGTGACTTTGGGAAAGCCTGGGAAACCAGAAGCCTGCATAATGGAACATCGCTGAGAGAACACTGGTCTGCAGGGCATGCCTGTTTTATATCGGGGATGCTCAAACATGTCTGGATGAGTTTCAAGTTCCCCTCCTTTGCTTTCTTCTCAATGAGTGGGGTTTACCTGGTCAAAGCAAACAATAAGAGCACTAAACATCATTAACTCATCCTGAACTTTTCTACTCAGCCCCAAATTTGGTTTCCAGTCATATTGGCCCACAGTTTTAGTCATGGTGTTTCAGCTAAATAACAGCTGGAAGTTGATGGCAACCCAGCTGTAGCCTGCTAGAGCAAACACTTGAGCTCCTATATGTATAAAAATGATAAAATGGCTAGACGTATAGGTCTCTAATTGCAGCCAGGATTCTGCAGCTGGGAAGTCACCCGAAGATATGTATTCTGTGTTGTAACCCAGCAACTATGCATTCCATCCCAACTGAAAAGCATTTCCCTTCCTTCTTACCCCCGAGATTGCTGCCAAAATGTGAAGTCCAGTTCCAGCTCCCAAACTATGTTTGCTTCTCATTAGGAGCTGACCCAGCTCCAGTCTTGTAAATCTAGCCATGGATTGAGCCAGGGAGATAGATCAGTTAGAGTTTGAGGGTGACGTGATGGTAAGGTAGTACCAGGACATTAGACTCAGATGCGGTCCTAAGATAAAATCTATGGGGTCACAAAGGCAGCCCTCCAATCCAGCACCACCTGCACCACCATACACATGATTGGGAGCAGAGCCTCTTGTTTCCTCCCTTCAGCCTTCTGACACATCCCCTCACTCCCTGCCTCCCCTCTTCTACGTTCCTCTTTTCCATTCCTCCCTACATATATACATACCTGTCCTCCTTGCTTCAAACAGCTCCTACAACTCATCGCCCCTCTCTACCGGGCCCTTTCCAATGATGGGGAAATGTTCATCTTCCTTGAACTTCTCTCACAAGCATTAAAGGGCTTTCCTCTTCCTTTGCAGAAGGAATTTCCCTATAGTCAAATATTCATTCTTCTGTCTTTACAATTAATCCACCAAGCATTGCTCTTGATAGGAAAAAAAAAATCAAATTTAGTTTTCTTCTGCTTGAAGTCTGGCTTTCAAGACTATCATTTTATTGTGGATTTAAAGAGCTGAGCAATGATTTCTTTGTTCCCTTATCCTGAGGTACTGATCTTTAGCTTCTTGGACTAACTAGTCTTCATAGCAGAAGGGCTGCAGGAGCTAAGGGGAGAAGATATTAATAAAAGAGGCCAAGAAAGGAAAGTATATCTGCAAGAGTCTAAACCATTATTTGGCTACAGTGATAAGCCCTGGCACTGCACTGCCCTGGCATCTTTGCCTTTGGGACTAGACCAAAATCTCCTTATGATAAGGAGCCTTCCATTTGCTTTTATATTTGCAGGGTCTTGCACAGTGCCTGGCATAAAAATATGCCTAGGCAATGAACAGTGTGAATGAATGAATGAACTGTCAAATCTGTTTGGATCTGCTTGCGCTAATGATAGTGCCCTATATTTGTAAAATTTTCCCAAGTATTTCCACATATATCATCTGACTTGATGTGACTATTGGTAAGTTGTCATTTTTTTCCTGCACTTCTGTCAATGAGCCAGAAAACATATAAATAAGCAACTAATTTAATTCTGAGAATAAAACCAGAAGGAGCAATGGCATAGATGATGAGATATATTATCTTCTATCTGGCATTCGGGTCTATATCAGGGGTCAGTAAACTGTGGCCCACGAACCAAATCTGTCCTATCCCCTATTTTGGTAAATAAAGTTTTGTCAGAACACAGCCATACTTGTTCATGTTGCTGCTTTATCTTGACAATAGCGGAGCTAACTAGTTGTGAGAGATGGTCAGGCCTGTAAAGCCCAAGACATTTGCGATTTTGCCCTTGACTGAAAAAGTTTGCTGACCTCTGGTCTAGATGATTAAGAGACATTCGTTCAGCAGGGGGCACATCTCACTTTTTAGGATGCCAAGAAAGCTAGAGAAAGTCTGCCTGCCTTTGAAACTCTTCTTGATAGCTGGGTGGTATTTTCTGATCAGTGACCAAAGTTATGTGCTTAAAAAGAAACAGCAGGCAGGAAAAGTGGAGCAGTATATAAAACATAAAATTATCCTCTTCAGTGGATGCATGGGTAAAGGCATACTGGAGTACCCAGGATTTCACACTCAGGTTGCCTTGTGTTACCTCAAACAGCTCAACATAAAGTGCTTCGGAGGGCCCATTTTCCCACAAGGCAGCTATGACGTCCCGCTGAGCCATCTTAGCCTTCTTCCTTATCTCGTACTTTCTGTTATCTTTACACTTGAGAAGTTACTCCAGATGCAGCTCTGCTGAAAGTAACATAATTAGGTATGGGTCCCTCCCCTTGCTCTTTCATCATCCCTGCAGTGTGTGCACGCTGCCTTCACTCTGAGAGCTTAATTTTTCCCTGCTGGATCCATAAGTAGATGGAACATATGGGACCTCTTGTACCTGTAGGCATTTTAGCAATTTCCTCTGATGAATCCATTTGTAAACCTCTGCTCGTTAGAACGAAAGGTTCCTCTTGTTTTTGCAGCCTCTGAAGATTTTGTCATTCACACGGGCAGGAGGTCATGAGATATCTGGTTAGTTGTGGGGAAATTTTTGCTTTTGGATGCTTATTTACTTTGATAAGTTGAGATTATTTTTTTTTACAGGCAGTTACTTTTAATTTGTCTGCATGACAATACCAATGTTCTAGAACAAGTCCAACATGAGGATTTGCAATCTGCCTCTTTATCTTGGCAGCTGCCATTTAGCCTTGCTGTTTTTATCACTGAGCTATAGATTAGGAAACCGAATGCAAACTGGTTAAGTGACTTCATGATTAAAGTGAAGTCATGCAAATAAAGAGAATACTGAAATATTGTTTCTCAGTGGCACCTGCTGTATTAAAACAACATAGACTTAGAAATAAGAGAATGTGGATTCCAGCCACATCTCCCACCACTTAACAGATTCCAAGTCTCTTGCCAATTTGTTCTGTAACTTCTGTGAGCTTCAGTCTCTTCCTCTAGGAAATCTAGATGATGATTGTATCACCAGCCTCACTAAATTCACTTCTATTCCATTTCTACTGACAGAATTTTATTGAGCATTTACTCTTTCTAGGCTCTTTGTCTAGCACTGTGGTTATACAAAAATATATTTATTTCTCCTTAAGTGGCTAGGGTGAATTGAGAAGTCAGACACATATAAGAACGAGTTCTATATAATTTGGTATGGAGCATGTGGGATTCTATGTGAGTTTTACAGGGATACAGAAGAGGGTATTTTTCTCAGTCTGAGGGTCCAGGGAAATTAGTGTCATTAAGCCAGGGTAGAAGAGAAGGGTTATCCAGATGGGGACCATAGCATGACAGGAAGCAAGGGTGTGCGAAACAGCATGGTATATGTGGAAAGTCCCAAAATGTTTGGCAGTATTTGGTCATAAAGAGAAAAGCATACGGTGGCAGCCTATGTGGCTGGAGGTGCATGTGAGGACCAGGTCATGAGAGGCCTTGTAGGCCTTGCTAAGGGATCCTTTCTGACTCTATCCAGAGAGCTCTGGGAATTCTGTGAGGCTTTCAGGCAGGGATGTGGTACAGCAATTACAGTGCACTTTTGATCACTTTGGCTAGTGTATAAGGCACTAGTCCAACAGAAGAGAGTTTTAAAGTTAAGAGATAATTCTTACAGCTTCCAGGAAAGAGACAGACTAGATCTGTGACAGAAGGGACAGAAAGAAAGGGTATGGTTTTTAGAATCAGTAAAGAAATCATTAGGGGTAGAGAGGTTGATTGGATAGGGTGGGTGAAGAAGAGGGGATATGTTTAAACTGATGATTAAACAAGCCATTATGAGTAAAAGCATTGCACAAACTCTAAAGCACTGGAAAAAAATTAATGATATTTTTAGTCATTCTTCAGAATATATTTAGTGATGTTATGCTCAGTTTTAAGCCCTAGCTAAGTTCTGGCTGTGTGTGGGGGGTGGGGGGCGTGGAGCATAGTGAAAGAATGGGAGTACAGAAAATAGAAGGGAAATTATATTTATAAAAAATGTTATTCCAGACACTGGCCTAATACTACACATTCATGATTTATCTTGGTTCTCACAATAGCCCTTGAAAGTTGATTTTACCTTCATTTTTGGATGAGAGATGGAGACTTAAAGATAACACAATCCCTACCCTCAAAGTGCTCCTAGAATAGTGAGGGAAATTTGTATAAATTGAATTATAACTCATTATGAGTGAAGCTATGATGAAGATGAACATGGAGTGATGCAAGCATATAGAAGAAAAGTGCTGACCTATATTTAGGGAAACTTCTCAGAGGTGGTAGCATCTGTAAGGTGATTGAGACTTGTCCACGAAGTAGGAGGGGGCAGCCCACGGAGTCACATGTTCAAAATTTGAAGGACTATGAACAGAGAACTGCAAATGGATCAGTATGGCTCATAGGAGTAGCAAAGGGAGGCCAAGGTGGGTGGATCACTTGAGGTCAGGAGTTCAAGACCAGTGTGGCCAACATGGTGAAACCTCATCCCTACTAAAAATACAAAAATTAGCTGGGTGTGGTGATGTGCATCTGTAATCCCAGCTACATGGGAAGCTGAGGCAGGAGAATTGCTTGAAACTGGGAGGCGGAGGTTGCAGTGAGCTGAGATCACACCACTGGACTCCAGCCTGGGTGAAAGAGCGAGACTCTATCAAAAAAAAGAAAAAAAAAAAAAGAAAAAAAAAGAAAGTGAAACTGTAGGATATGCTAGGACTGGGCCTTATGATAAAAGAAATAGGAAACCATTGATGAGTTTTAAGCAAGTGTGTGTTAAGATAAAATAAATACTTAAGAAAGATTATTTTGAGGGTAGTGTAGAAGGGAAGAAGAAGATCAGGGAAAGGCAATTTCAAGGTCATAGGAGGTAGAAGCTTGAAGTAGTATGGTAAAAGTGGAGATGCGGTAGGACTAACATTCAGGAGGTGAAGAGAGACAACATGGTGATCAGGGGTTTTAGAAAGAGATAGATATAGGCCAGGATTATAGGCTCACGCCTGTAATCCCAGCACTTTGGGAGACTGAGGTGGGCAGATCACGAGGTCAAGAGATCCAGACCATCCTGGCCGAAGGCCAACATGGCGAAACCTCACCTCTACTAAAAATACAAAAATTAGCTGGGCATGGTGGTGCACACCTGTAGTCCCAGCTACTCAGGAGGCTGAGGCAGGAGAATTACTTGAACCTGGAAGGGGGAGGTTGCAGTGAGCTGAGATCATGCCACTGCACTCCAGCCTGGTGACAGAGTGAGACTCTGCCTCAGAAACAAACAAACAAACAAACAAAAACACATACAAAAAAACATTCAGGAGGTAAAGAGAGACAACACGGTGATCACGTGTTTTAGAAAGAGATGGATATAAATGCCACTCACTTTCTTGTTTGGGGGCTGGGTAGATGGTAGACTGAAACCTCCATCAGATGGAGGCTACAAATGGAGGAGTATTTCGGAGGAAAAGGGGTTGAAAGAAGAGAATGGAGAGACATTTAGAAGACACATAGGAGAAGGTAAACTGGTAAAATGTGAAAGATGAAGGGGAGAGCATGCCCAAGGACAGTGGCATCATTTACAGAGAAGGACAACCTTTTGTCAGGTGGCATCTCTTGGCCCATTGAGAGCCAGAATAATTGGGTCTTGATCTCACATTCCTCACTTTTGGAGGTCTGAGTCTTCCCCAACATTTTCAAGATTTCATGAAGCTTAAGTTCTCATGATTTCAGTCCACACACTTTCTTCCGTAATGCTGTGGGTTTTTGCACAATATTTATCCATATGTAAAACTTCCCTTCACTTGTCCCTGCAAAACACACACAGACACATCTCTAAACATCATCGACTCCAGTGAAGAGCTTATGGTCTTCCACGAAAGAAAGCTTGAAAAATTACTTCCTTTACAGTCCTACACTCAAACATCCCCTTGCCCACTTCCCCCTCCCCTGACTGCCCCGACTATTTAGACTGTTTAGCTTCATATCAGTGCATGGCTCCTCTCTTCACTCTATCCTTCCATTCTCCTTTCTTTTCTCATCCTCTTTACTCCTTTTCTGGAGCCACAAATCTCTTTCCCAAACCTCTCCCTTTCGCAGGCATACTGGTTCTTCCTTCATTTCTGAACCCTTGACGCTCACTGACATCTCAGTCCTTGTGACGTTGGAGCATGGGGTAAGAGGTGGGAGATGAGTCATCTTCTACTCTAAGTGTTTATCAAGAGTATTTTCTTCCAAAGATAATTGAGGTCCTGGCTATAAAGTGATTCTAATCTATCTACTTTATTATGTGGTTAATATGAGGCATGGTTGATGTGGGGTCATGTTTGTAACAGAAGGTGACCTGTTTTATCTTAGACAAGTTTCATTTGACATGTCTGTGGCACATTAAAATTACCCTTATGGTTACAGCTAATCTCCTCCCTCCTAGAAGATTTTTCTTATAAAGTGTAGAATTTTGTAGGTGGTTCTGTTCTTTCTTATGGTCACACCTCAACATAAGAAAGTTGACTATGGAGTATCATTATTCTTTCCCCTCACTGGCTCTTCCCATGCTGGTTTTGTATGATCTGCAGGATGATGGTGTGCTTAGAGTGTTGATGTCTCCAGTCTGGGTTGAGGAACTCAACTTTCTCCTCAGTCAACCTAATCTTGACAGTCTCTTCAGACCTAACTTATTATCACCTACCGATCAGGCTCATGACTTAAAAACATGAGCAGTTTATTTACTTTTGTTTAATCATAAACTCTGACTCAGCATTTTTCAGTTAGTACTTTTATTTAGAACTATCCTTGCTTGAAAAGAAGATGTCATCCTTTACTCTAGAACATTGACCTTTAAAAAATAAGTCTAGATAGTGATTATTTTTATACAGGTATATCAGGAGCCATTATTACTCATGTGTTTGTTTTGTTTTATTAAATAATTCACACATCAAGTAATGTGCAAAGGATATGTAAGGAACACACTTACACTTAATGCTAATATTTAACAAAGTTTAACATTTTTACGTATTTGCTTCAGGGTTTTTTTTTTAAATAAATAACATATTGTAGATAAAGATTTAAGCCCCCTTTGAATCCATTCACAATCCAATTTTCATCCTTGCTTCACCAAAATTGCAACATCCTGAACCTGGCATCAGTTTTACCTGCCCCCTAGTGCGCTCCGTCTGTCTCGCTCACTCTCTCTCTCTCTCTCTCTCGCTTTCTTTCTTTCTCTCTCTTTCTCTGTTTCTGCTTTTGTATTTTTTCTTTGATGTCTTTGGTTAACTTTTAATGCTTGTGTATGGCTAATTTACAATGTTTATATAGAAATTTTTATTAAATTCTTCTTTAATTAAAAGCAAACAAACACACCCCATTCCAAGAAAATTTCTAAAATTCAAAACAAAACGAAACTCTAATGTCGTTTTTTTCCAGCTTGATCTATCAGTTTCTGTGAAAGGTATTTTTTTTTAAATACCTCTATCTTTTTTTTAAAAAAAAAACCTTATAAAAGAAATTTCATTAAAAAAACCTTATAAAAATTTGATTAAAAAACCTTACAAAAGTAGTTTGATAAGCATTATTTTCTTATATTTCTACATTTTATAACTTCCATCATTTCTTTAACCCATAAATTGATAGATTCTGTTTTTTGATGCCAGAAGGTCATGGTAGAGGTAACTATTGTTGGAACGCTGTTCTTATAACTTTTAAGGTGATGCTTGATTTCTAATTCAATTCCATTTTGATTAAACAACCTGGTCTCTACAGTAATTTTTTGAAATGTAGTGAGTCTTATTTTTGACATAGCATGAGAACATTTTTAATAAATATTCAATATATGGTATAAAAGTATGCATCTTCTCTGTTTGGTATATAATTTTTTAAGATCAAGGTTTTTTGATGTATTATGTAGATTTTTTTATCTTGCTTTTTCTTTTTTTTTCCTATTTGATCTGTATCTCTGAAGGATGTTTATAAAAATATCCCAATATTATATCTCCTTGGAACTATTTTATCCTGTTCCATGTTTTTGCCCTCAATTCTATTTCACCCCCAATACTAGTATTGCTACACCAGGTAAAAATATGCCTATTGAGTCTTTTTTTTAAATTTTCAACCTGATATAGTTTGGCTCTGTGTCCCTATCCAGATCTTATCACAAATTGTAATCCTTATAATCCCGGCATGTTGAGGGACAGACCTGGTGGGAGGTGATTGGATCATGGGGGCGGTTTCCCCCATGCTGGTCTCATGATAGTGAATGAGTTTTCACAATATCTGATGATTTTATAAATCTTTGACAGTTCCTCCTTCACACTTGCTCTCTCTCTCCTGCCACCTTGTGAAGAAAGTACCTGCTTCCCTTTTGCCTTGTACCATGACTATAAGTTTCCTGAGGCCTCCTCAGCCATGTGGAACTGTGAGTCAATTAAACCTCTTTTGTTTGTAAATCACCCAGTCTCAGGTATTCTTTATAGCAGTGTGAAAATTGATTAATACACAGTGTTTTTCTGATAATCTGTTTTAAGTATGCATCCAGCAGAGATGATATAGCTTTTTTAAAAGATCCAATATATAGTAGTGTCTTTTAATAGATTACTTTAATTTTATATTTATTGTGAGCATTCCTGTATTTGGATTAATTTTTTCCATCTCATTTTGTGCTATTTAACATCATTTTTTAACTTCCTTTTAATATTCATTTTTGATACCTTCCTTGGATTATACACTTTTTAACAATGTATTTTTTTTCCCTTTTGCCAGTTTGGAAGCTACTAATTATATTTTATTATTTTGGTGATTTTGCTTTAATTCAAAAATAACAAAATACAATGTACATACATACAATTGTACATGACAGAAATGAATGATCACAAAATTAACATTCATGTAACTGTCATACAAGAAATAAAACATTTCCAGTATTTCAGCAGTATAGAGCATTAATGCATTTTAAAAATGCATCTTTTCCCTTCCAGTTTTAATGAAGTATAAATGACAAATAAAAATTGAATATACTTACGGTGTACGACATGATGTTTTGATATACATATACAGTGTGAAATGACTACCACAATCTAAAATAAATCTTTATATTTTGTTTCTTATGTTATCTAAAGTTGTGCAATATCTCTATACCTTCCCAATTGAGATGAGGACATTAGCAAAGCTGACTTATCTAGCCATCAAACACTCTTTCTCATCTTCTGTGATATTGTTTTTAATTTTAATAAGACTTATTTGAAGCAAAGAAAGTCAGCTATTTTATATTCAGTAGTTATATAAATTTTGCATCTCGCTTCCCTTCTCTGTGCCTTTTTTGCTTCTTTCTAAAGTACATCCTTTAGTAGTTCTTTACTACTAATTTACAAGAATTCTAAACCTCATGTCTGAAAATGTCTTTATTTCATTTTCATTGGAATGATACTGTATCCAGTTCCAAAATTCTAATTTAAAAATTGTCTTCCCTCAGCTCTTTGAAATGTTTCTCTGTTGCTTTCAATTATTTATTGTTACTACTCTTAAATCTACTCACAATATAATTGCCATTGCTTTGAAGAGAATGTGGCTTTTCCGTTTGATAATTTTCAAAACATTTCTGTTTATTTTCACTGAAATGTGTCCTCCTGTTTTTATTATGGGACCTCACCCTTCCCTCAGCTGTGTTCCATGCCCCTAGGTTAGGGACCTGGGGCCCCATCATTTGGGAATAAATCTCCCATTTTCTGAACTGGAGTGGGAGGGGATATTGCTTAGTCATATAACCTGGAGTATGGGACTCGGGATCTGATTGTTCCTAATGCAGACTTTCAAACAATCCTTCTGTGTCTGGAAATTTTCTGTAAGTCTCACATTCAGAGCTACCTGGTGCACCCAGTTCCTGACCTTTTTCTCATGTAAATTGCCTTGCTTCCTTTTGGCACATAAGTTTGAGGGATCTCTGAACTGCTAAATCACATACCGCTACACCATCTGCTTTCAGTCTCTCAATATTTAGATATTTCTTGTCTGTTATCATCCTCCTTTGCTATTTTCTTTGTGTCTGAAGATTTATAAATATTTCTAAAATTCCTTACAGTAATTTTGGAGGGGGTTTCTTGGAGGTATAATGAATGAGTGCCTATATTCAATCTTCTACATTTAAACAAAATTTTTTTCCATTAAGATTTTATAGACTTTGGAAATTCTATTAACAGAAGATAGGGTCCTTCATTTCATAATTAGAAATATCCCAGGGAGACATAACACATTAACTTATAATTATAAATGGCTGTCTGCTTTCCTCTTTATAATTGACCCCCAATTCAGAATTAATTGCTTCCATATCTTGGTTTTATCTCCTTCACATATTTATGGTTTTGGTTGGCAGGCTTCAATAACTAGACAGTAGACTTCTTGGGATTATGTCTTAGTACCATGACAGGTACTAAATACTCATTTGAGTGCCTGGTACAGAGGTTGCACCATACATGCTTCTTCAATAAAATGGAGTGATTTAGAATCAGAATTAACACAAAAATTTTCCTCTATGACAAGAGTGTTTCTCACCTATTGGCAAGAAATTTGAACCAGATGTTCACTATGTTACCATATTTTTCTCCCAGATTTGTCACATGATTTGATTGATTACTGGGCTTAGAAAATGACATTATGAGTAGATGGAAACCCTGTAATAATGGAATGACAATATTACTTGGTATGTGTATAATCCTTTTATTGTTTAAGATATTTCTATACCCATAATTTTTTAAAGTCTTCATACATCCCTGCAATTTTGGAGAATAGCAAGGCCTATTTACAAGATACTGGTGAGAATAATCATCATCAATTTAGGAAAAGGAAAGGAAATTCCCATATTTGACATTTTATATAAAACTATGAGCAGTGAAGGCAGGAAACTAGAAGGGCTTCTTAAAGGGGTTTTAAAAAGTATGGATCACTTGCCAATTGCCAAAGTACAGGCCTGAATTTTCCTTTCCGTATTACTCTTCTCCTAAGGAATATGACCATGAGGCAGTTAGCACACACCTGCTTTTTGAAGAGAAATAGAAAAGGGGATTTGGTGCAACATGTATCTATCTACAGAAACGGCCTGTGTGCTAGACCACCTGCCCATGAAGAGTGACACAGATATACTTCTTTACCCAATTCCACATTCTGACCAGAAATGGATTACAGCTCTGAGCTCATCCTCTCTAATATTTTAAATGGAGGGAGTAGAGGGACCTCTCCTTATGCAGAGAAACAAAGTTCTTATTTAGTAAAAATATTATAGTTAGACACAATTATAACCACAAAGATACTTGACAACCAACAGTTATCAGCAAAGGGAATAATGATAATTTTTGCCTGGCATAGAAAAACACGCTATTGTTAATTCTGAGAATTGTCTAATCTCTCCTCAAGAAGTGGGAGGCCTGGGGATTCTGGCTAGGCTGGGATTCTGGAGAAAAGAATAATATGGGTTTGAGAAGGGTTGGGGTCTGTGGCTATGCAATTTCGAACGAAGTGTAATGGAACCAGGAAAGCTGGGCTTAGACAAAGAAATATTTTAGAAGTTGAAGAAGAGTTTCCAAAGCAAGAATCAAATCTGTGGAAAGGATTACCACAAAGAGGTTGCCTGGTAGGAGCTTTAAAGTCTGCTGATTCAGTCTGAAAGGAGGATTGTACATTGACTTGAGGTTATTTATCGCAGAATAGCAAACAGGTAATGCATCCTCTACTAATTAGTATTACAGTTCAATTCTGGACTGGTCCCATAGAATGAGGTTTTAAGCATGGATTCAGCTAGTAGGAGGTATACATTTTAAATGCATTAAAGGAAACTAAAGTTTTAAATTGTAAATAAATCATTATGCCATCTTAAACTGCCAACAAGGTAAGTGAAAGTAGTGACCTGGTTAGCAGTCAGTAGACACAGTTTCAAGTGAGCAGCAGAAACATTCTATTGTTATATAAATGAAGGGAGCAGGGAATTGTTGTTCCTCCTTCTTCAGTGAGATCAAATTAACTAACATCACATCATAGCATCAGGGAAGTCACCTGTGAATACCTAGCAGCTTTACAGGTGTGACTCTCTTGGTTACTGAAAGAGCTTGTCAGTTGCCAATCTGAGCTATTTTTATGTTGTGTGAAAGCTGAAGAATTCCTGGGTTTGTGGTCCTGCTGATTTGCCAGACAAAATGGACAACTGGAGAAAATGGTGCTATTTCCTTCTTCTAAAGAATAGACAGATACCTGTTCATCACAGAGGTGGGACTTGAGAGCTTTATGAGGCTGGCGGTTGGAGTCATTCCTGGAAATTCCTTTTATGATGCACAGGTTTGTGGAGGGAGTCTTTATGTGTGTCTCATGGCTTCTTGATAATCATTAGGTTTTAGAGAACTTGCTAATAAATTGTGGTTGACTTCTAAAAATGAAAGTTGCAGATTCACACAAGAAACTGGAAAGTTAAGAATAGGTTATCCCAAGTTCTAGTATGGAAATAGGTAGCCATATGCTGAAAGAGTAAAACTTTGGTAATTAAGGGGCTAATGTATGGACTATTTGGAATATGAAATGTAGTTTTCATAATGTTTGCAATTACATTTTAAAAATCAGGATATAATTCATATACCATTGCTATTCAGTTATTTCAAGTGGGTAAAGTGGTTTTTAACATATTCACAAATTGGTACAACCACTAGCTCATTCCAGTACAATTTTCATCTCCCCAAAAGAAAGCTGTTAACCATCCTTCCCTGTTTTCCTCTCCTCTCAGTCCCCAGCAATCACTAATGTGCTTCCCATGTCTACGGATTTTTCTATTCTGGGTGTTTCATATAAATGGTATGATATAATGTATGGCCTTTTATGTCTGCCTTCTTTCACTCAGCACAAGGTTTTCAAGGTTTCATCTATGGTGTTGAATGCATCACTATTTTGTTTCTTTCTATGGCTCAATAATATTCCATTGTATGGGGATACCACATTTGTTATTCATCATCAGTTGATGGACATTTGGCTTGTTTCCTCTTTCTGACTGATAGGAGTAATGCTGCTATAAACATCCATGTGCAAGATTTTATGTGGACATATATTTTTAGTTCTCTTGGATATATATCCAGGAGTAGAATTGTCGGATCATATGGTGCTGGGTCATATGGGGACTATATGTTTGACACTTTAAGGAACTACAAACCTACTTCAAAGTGGCTGAACCACTTTATATTTCACCAGCAATATATATGAGTTTCAATTGATCCACATTCCCTCCAACACTTGTCATTTTCTATATTTTAGCCATCGGAGTGGGTATGAAATGGTATCTTTTTGTAATTTTGATTTTCATTTACCTAATGACTAATGATGTTGAACATCTTGTAATGAGCTTATTGGTGATTTGTATATCCTATCTGGAGAAATGTCTATTCAAATATTTTACCTAGCCTTTGATTGGATTGTTTGTATTATTGAGTATAAGAAAATATTTTCTCCCATTCTGTGGGGTGTCTTTTTCACTTTCTTGATAGTGTCCTGTGATACCCAATAGTTTTTACTTTTGATGAAATTCAGTTTATCTGTGTTTTTAATTGATTTTGCTTTTGATGTTATATCTAAGAAACCATACCCTAACCCAGGGTCACCAAGATTTATTGTCATGTTTCTTCTAGGAGTTTTATAATTTTAGCTCTTACATTTAGATCTATAATTGTTTTGGGGTTAATTTTCATGTGTTACTTGAGGTGAAGGTCCAAATGTACTGTTTTATGTATGGATATTCTGTTCTCCTAGCACCATTTGTTGAAAAGGCTATTTTTTCCTCATTAAATTGTCTTGGCATCCTTGTAGAAAATGATTTGATCAATAATATATGGGTTTATTTCTGGACTCTCACTTCTGTTTCCATTGATCTATGTCTATCTTTATTACAGTATCATACTGCTCTGATAATTGTAACTTTGATTTTGAAATTCGGAAGTGTGAGTCCTCCAGATTCATTCTTTTTCAATACTGCTTTGTGTATTCCTTGTTCTTTTCATTTCCATGTGAATTTTAAGCTTAGCTTGTCAAATTTTGAAAATAAAAAAACCCAGATGGACTTATGATAGAGATTGTGTTGAAACTGTAGATCAATCTGGGAAGTAGTGCCATTTTAATATCAAGTCTTCAAGTTCATGAGTACAGGATATCTTACATTTGTTGAAGTGCTCTTTAATTTCTTTCAATAATGTTTTGTCTTTTGTGGTGTAAAAACCTTACACTTCTTTGGTTAAATTTATTCCTAAGTATTTTATTCTTTTTAATGCTATTGTAAGTAAACTTGGCTTTTAAATTTTATTTTTAGATTGTTCATTGCTGATGTATGTAAATAAATTGATATTTGTGCATTAATCTTAATTCTGGAAACTTGCTGAACTAGTTTATTACCTCTAATTTTTTGTAGATTAATTAGGATTTTCTGTATACAAGATTGTATCATTTGCAAATAAAGATAGTATTACTTTTTCCTTTCCTATCTGGATGCTTTTAATTTCATTTTCTTGCATAATTTCTCTGGCTAGGATCCACAATACAATGTTGAATAGATGTGGTAAAAGCAGACAACCTTGGCTCATTCCAAATCTTGGCAGGAAAATTTTCAGTCTTTTATCATTAAGTAAAATAACAGCTGTGGGTTTATCAGGTTGAAGAAGTTCCCTTCTTAGTTTTTTTTTTTTTAACATGTTTTTATTATGAACATATGCTGGATTTTATAAAACGTTTTTTCAGTAGCTCTTGAGATGATTGTGTTTGTCTTTTATTCTGTTAACATGGTGTATTACATTGATGGATTTACATACATTGAACAAACCTTCCAATCCTGAGATGAATCCCACTTGTTTGTGAACTACATATATAATCTTTTTTATAAGTTGTTAGATTTGATTTGCTAGTATTTTCTTGAGCATTTTGGGCTTATATTTATCAGGGACACTGTTCTGTAGCTTTTTTCCCATGATATCTTTGGTTTTGCTACCCGGCTAATATTGGACTCACAGAATGAGTTGAAAATTGTTTCCTTCTTATGTATGTTTTGGAAAGTTTTGTGAAAGATTGGTTTTAATTCTTCCTTAAACGCTTGGTAGAATTCACCACTGAGGCCATGCAGAATTCACCAGTGAAGTCCTATACTTGGTCTTCAGCTTTGATTTGTGAGAGCTTTGTTGATTAATAATTCAATCTTTTATTTATTATAGGTCTATTTCAATTTAATATTTTCTATTTCTTCTTCAGTCAGGTATGGTAAATTGTGTCTTTCTAACTTTTTGTCCATTTCATCTAGGTTTTCTTATTTGTTGGCATGAAATTATTCGTAGTATTTCTTTACAGCCTCAGTAAGGTCATTAGTAATGTTCCCTCTGTCATTTCTCCTTTTAATAATTTACATCTTTTCTTCCTTTTTTTCCTTGTCAGTTTGACAAAAAGGTTTATCAGTTTTCAAAGAACCAACTTTTAGTTCCTTGACTTTTCTATTGTTTTTCTATTCTGTATTTTATGTATTTCTCTTCTAATCTTTATTGTTTCTTTTCTTCTGCTTGCTTCAGGTTTTCCTCTTCTTTTCTAGTTTTTTAATATAAAAGGCTAGATTATTGATTTGTGATTGTTATGTTTTAAAATAATCTCTTTTAATACAGGCATTTACAAATATGTATTTTTTCTGCTTTTGTTTTATCCTATAAGGTTTGGTATGCTGTGTTTTCATTTCTATTAATTTCAAAGTATTTTCTAATTTATATTGTAATTTCTTCTTTGACTCATTCATTATTTAGGAGTGCATTGTTTAATTTCCATGTGCTTATAAATTTCCCAAACTTCCCTCTGCTATTGGTATCTAATTTATTTTGGTTTTGGTCAAATAATATATTTGTATGATTTAAATCATTTAAATTTATTAAAACTTGTTTTATGGCCAACCATGTGATCTACTCTACAGAATGTGTGCACTTGGGAAAAATGTGCTTTCTGTTTTTGTTGGACCAAGTGTTCTATAGATGTCTGTTAATCTACTTGTTTCATATTGTTATGCAAATCTTATGTTGCCTTTTTGATTCTGTGTCTAGTTGTTCTATCCATTACTGAAAGTGGGGAACTGAAATCTCCAACAATTTTTGGTGAATTGTCTATTTACTTCATTTCTTTTAGTTATTCCTTCATGTATGATGGTGCTTTGTTATTAGTTGTGCACATATTTACAATCTAGCTTCTTGATGAATTAACCCTTTATCATTATTTAATGTCCTTCTTTGTTTCTTGTAACTGTTTGTGAGTTAAAGTACATTATGTCTGATAGTCCTATAGCCACTCTGTCTTTCTTTTGGTTACTGTTTGCATGGTGTTTTCTTTTCCTTCTTTTAACCCATTGTGTCTTTGAATTCACAGTATATCTCTTATAGCCAGCTTGTAGTTGGAACACTTTAAAAAAATCCATTCTAATCTCAATCTTTAGATTGAATTGTTTAATCCATTTACATTTAATATAATTACTGATTTTAAAAAAGGTTTTATGTATGTCATTTTGCTATCAGTTTTCCATATTTCTATGTGTTTTTTGTTGTTTTTTCATTCCTCTCTTATTTCTTTTGAGTTAATAAATATTCAAGGCACTATTTAAATTTGTTTTCATTAGTTTTATAGTATTTTTTGAATTCTTTTATAACTGCCTTGGGGATTTATAATATTGATATATAACAATCTAGTCAGATTAAAACAAACTTAATTGCAATAGTGTACAAAATATGCCATTATATAGCTTCATTTCCTTCCCCTTTCTTTGTGCTATTATCATATAAAATACGTCTTCATATATTGTAGACACATCAACACAGTTTATAATTACAGGTTATGCCATTGTTTTTTAAATCAGGGAAGAAATTTTATAATTAAAAATACAATGCCTTTTATATTTACGTATGTATTAACTTTATCAGTGATTTTTTAAATGTGGATTCTTGTTACTGTCTAGTGTCTTTTCATTTAAGCCTGAAGCCTTCCCTTTAGTGTGTCTTGTACAGCAGATTTCATAGCAATAAATTCTCTTATTATTTTCTTTGTTAGGAAACAAATTAATTTCTCCGTTAAAAAATAGTTTTGCTAAGTATAGAATTCTTGATGTTCAGTCTTTTTGTGTTAGTACTTTGAGTATATCATCTCACTGACTCTGGTCTCCACAGTTTCTGAAAAAAAAATTAGTTATTAATTTCATTGTAGGTTTCTTGTATAGCATTAGTCAATTCTGTCTTGTAGCTTTCAAAATTCTCTTTGTCTTTTGATATTTTGGTTATTACATGTCTAGGTGTGGACCCTGAGTTTATCTTTCTTGGAGTTTGATGAGATTTTTGGATGTGTAGATTAGATTAATGTTTTTCACTAAGTTTAGGAAGTTTTCAGCCATTACTTTTTTTTAACTATTTGTTCGTTCTGTCTCTTTGTCTCTCTATTGCTTCCCCTTTTATTTTGGAACTCCTATTAGATGTATGTTGGTATGCTTGATGGTGTCCCAGTGGTGTCTGAGACTCTGTTAATTTTTTAGATCCTTTCTTCTCTCTATTCTTGAAAGTGGATAACCCCTTCCAGTCACTGAATACTTTTTCTGTCTGCGCAAAACTTCTGTTGAGGATCTGTAGTGATTTGTAAATTTCAGGTATTGTACTTTTGAATTCCAGAAATTATATTTGATTATTTTGTAAAATTTTTGTTTTTTAATGATAGTTTCTATTTGCTGAGACATCATTCTCATACTTTCTTTTAGTTCTTCAGACCTGTTTTTCTCTCTCTTTTTAGTTCCTTAAACATATGCATAATAGCTTATTTAAGTCTTAGACAGTAAGTTCAATATCTGGGCTTCCACAAGGATAGTTTCTATTAGCTGTTATATTTTCTGTGTATAGCCTATGCTTTTTTGTTTTTTTAATATCTCATAAATTTTTTGCTGAAAAGTAGAAATTTTAAATACATAATGTTGCAATTCTGGAAATCAGATTCTTCCCCAAACCCAGGATTTATTGTTGTTTGTTTAGTGACTTCTTGAAGTAATCCGTAAAGTCTATGTTCTTGTCATGTGCAGCCATTAAAGTCTTTGCTTGGCTAGCTTAGTGGTCTTCTAATGATTAGACAGAGTTTCTTAGTATTCTGTAACTAATAAGTCTCATAGCGTTTGCTAGGGAACCTACTGTTGATGTCTGGGCATGCCTTCAACACTCAGTCAGACAGTTTACATCTCTTCTTTAATCTTCACTTCCTGCTTGTTCAGAACCTCAAGGTTTGTCAGGATTGAGAGCTCAGGGCCTTTTTAGGTCTTTCCTGAGCATGCACATAGCCCTGAGTGTACATACAACCCTATGCATGCAGGTTTCTAGAAATATTTTAGAGCTTTCAAAATCTCCCTGTGGACATTTTCCCCTCACCTTTTAGTTTTAAGTTCGGTGGTTTGCCCATTGGTTGCCCAACAGTTTTCTACTATCTGGGAGACCCATGATGTTTAGCAATTGCCTCTAATTTTTTTCAACAAATGCCCATGGGAAAAAGTCTGTTTCCATTCGGGAAGATTTGAGTCATGTCAAATAAGGACCAGTGCTGCTGATTCCTTTTGCCTGTGAACAGAGCCAACACTCATCCAATAGCTTTTCAACAAAACAACCTTAATTGAAGAGTCTTGACAGAATTTGCAAGACATCACTAATTGGATTCCACTTGCCATCTGCTGCACTATACCTGACAGAGCCCAGTAAAATGTAAATTCAGAACCGATGACAGAGTGAAAGGAGAAAACAACCCCTTCCTGATAATTGTGGTTACCCAATCTGGAGCCTTAGAGGGAGGGGAGAGGTAGCATCTTGAGTCTTGTACTAAGGATTGACATTGAATAAATAAATGTGTACATTTTATTTCCTCAAGATTTATTTGAGATTTTCTCACCTTTAATGGAGAGCAACAAAGAAGGAAAGCAGGTATCATATCATGTAGGATAATTTTTCTTAAGGAATATTATTTTGAGAATTATTTTCTTTTATAAATATATATAAAAGTCATATTGCCTATGTTTAGCTTGAAGTGTATATTTTAGTTTAAAATACCCAGTGAACTGAAGATGACATTTTTCTGATCCATGAGACCTAACTATAAAGATGTTTTGATTTCTCATATTGCAAAAATGACTCCCTAAATAAAAAGACGCAGCCAAGCTACTAATGATAAAGCCCTCTGATTTTCTCCTTGGATCTTAGTGGAAATAAATTAAAGTAAAATAACTTTAAAATGTTAATGCCATGTATTTGAAGGAGCTAGACCACTGAAAAGAATCAAGCTTACTTATCAGTAAGAAAGATGAAGATCTAATCATTTCATGGAAGATCCATTAATACCATATCTGTACTCAAACTGCAACTATTCTAAAAGGAAAATATACTCAGACCATAAAAATATGTTTCCCAGAAACTAGAGACTGGAGAATTCATCCATTCATTCTTTATCGATAAGGTGATTTCTATGTGTCACGAATTGTTTTTTGGGGCTGAGGATACAGTAGTTGAACAAAATAGGTAAGGTCCGTGTTATCATTAAGCCTACACTCTAGTGGGGAAGAGAGAACATGAACTAAACTAGGGTAGATATGTAATACAATGATGGATAGTGTTAATTGTAGTGAATAAAATAATGTAGGTTGGAAAATAGAGGGTAATGAGCAGGTGAAAGGTGGGAAGAAGATCCTCTATGATGAGATGACATTTGAACAGAAACTTGAGAGAGTAAACCATGGATATTTGGGGAAAGAGACTGCCAGGTAGAATGAAAGCAGTTAAGAAACCCTTGACATAGTCCAGGTAAAAGAAGATAGTGGCTTAGACAGGGTGGTAGTGTTGAAAGTGGTGAGTTATACTTGGTTTCTGTATATACTAAATATTTTGAAGATTTGCTATTAAACAGGATTAGGGGTATGTGATAAAGATGCCTCAAAGATGACTATAAGGTATTTGACCTGAGCAACTGGTGATTAGGGGAGCCATTTAATGAAAATAGAGAGAGGGTAGTTGATGCTCCTTCCTTCTTTGTTTAGGAAGCCTAAAAGTGATTTGCCTTTTTTTTTTTTTTTTTTGAGATGGAATCTCACTCTGTTGCTAGGCCAGAGTGCAGTGGCACGAGCCACCATGCCCAGCTAATTTTTTTTGTATTTTTAGTAGAGAAGGGGTTTCACCATGTTGGCCAGGATGATCTCGATCTCTTGACCTTGTGATCTGCCCACCTTGGCCTCCCAAAGTGCTGGGATTACAGGCGTGAACCACTGTGCCCCACCTGTGATTTGCCTTTTAATTTCCTGGAACCACTTGTGTATGTGATTCAGCTGAACAATACCAACAGGTTGTGGAAGATCTGGATAGAATTGAAACCAACACAAAAGCTTTTCTGTAACAAAACAGTACAAAGTGTGTTAAGAGAGAGAGGGGAAAAATAATGACAAAAAAGAAGGGATTAGAAAAAGATTGTGCTTTAGGTAAAGAAATTTCCAGACTTTTTCCAGGAAACCTATTTTTCATTGGCTAAAGACCTGGGATCAAATTCATGCTTGAAATACATGACTATGAACAGTTACATAAACCTTGTGAATTGCAGTTTCTTCAAATATAAAACAGGATTTTTTTCGAGGATTAAATGATAAATATAGCTTTTTCTCCTCTTATTTTTATTTTATTGTTATGATTTACTGAAAGTCTCAGAAAAGCCCTATATTGATGATCCAATTAGTCTCTAAGATTATATATTACAAGTAGTAACTGAGATCCATTAAATGTAGGACATGATGATGAGTATTGAAGCAGATTCAATAAACATACAAGATGCAGTACTATCCTCAAATGATTTATAGTCTAAATCTGTAGTTAAGCGAAAATTCAGAACAGTATTGATGGTGATGCAAATGTGAATGCTAAAAAGAACTGCTTTTAAAAAATGCAAACATTTGTTCATCACTGAGTACATACGAAGCATTTTGCTAAGTGCCTTAAGTGTGTTATGACACTTAAGCCTAAGAAACAAACAATCAAAAATCCTGTGAGTTAAATACTGGTATCACCCTTAGGTCGAAATAAAAAGACAGGCTTGTTCGTCATCTGATACTGAGAGTCTAAAATTTAACAAAGTTAAATAACTTGGTCAAGTTTATACAGCAAGTGAGAGATCCAGACTTGAATGCACACAGCCAGAATCCGGTGACACGCACATACACTTTTCACCATTTTTGTTTTCTCAAGGAATTTTAGAAGTTGGAGAAATTGCTACAGATTGTAGTCAAAGGAAGTCTCATGAAAGGGGCGAGGCTTGATAAGTTTCCTGAAAGACAGGTAGAATAAGAAAGAGATGGAGAAGAAAAAGATTGGGTCTGCAGACATGGCTCCATCAGCAGGTGAGGGGATTTGAGAGTTGGGAGAGCACATAGTGGCCTGGGAACAATAAGGAAACATGGTTTGCTTGGACCACTGGGTTTGTGTTGGGCAGTAATAGAAGATTGAGTTGGACTGGTGAGATGAGACTAGTTTGTAGAAAATCTTGAATGTCAGCCAAAGTAGTTTACACATCCTTTTTTAGGTAACAGGAGTCAGTGAAAGAATTTGAATATACTTTTGGAATTATGTCAAATTGGAGGAGAAACATTACGATAGATAGAAGATGAGAAAAACGGTGAGGAGGCAATTGCTGTAATTTATATAGGAGATAATAAATCTTAGACAATTTTTCTTCTTATGAATTTGGTTTCAAAAAATAAAACCTTATAACCTACCTCCCCTCTCTTTCTCTTCCCTTATTTATGTCACTGACACTTTGTCTTTTCTTTTGCATGCCTTTACCTAGAATTAGCATTTTCAAAGGAGAAAGTCACCTTGGATAGAGATCATGTGTTCTAATTTTCTGCTTTAAAAACAACAACAGCAAAACAAACAAAACAACATCTCTGAGCCAACCAAAACTACGGAGCTTGCTTAGGATTACACTGTAGCAAGTGTCAAAACAAGGCTGAAGCTCATTTTTTTTTTTTTTTCCTGATTTCTTCTGTGGCACTGAGTGCTATCCATTTTCTCCTACCAGGAAATCAAGGAAAAGGAACTCCAGAATTCCAAGATGACTCTTGACATTCTTTTACCTAGGAAGGTATTGGCAGTCAGCATTGCTTTCAGGGAATGGGATAAATGTTTCCTAGCTATTTAAAGACCCAATCAGCAGAAATTATTTTTCTGTACCTGTGTCCCGTGTCCTAAGAGACTAATCAGGATTTTATTATACATCCAGAGTTAAACACATTGACATCCTCTAAAGAAAGCATAAGAATCACCTTCTTTTCTACATCTGCTAGTTAGCAGGAAAGAGAAGAGTTGTTACTCTCTAGAGACACATTTTGGCTTGATCAACTCATCAGGGGAATTCCTTCATGGCCTGCAAAGAAAACTTACCTGAATATGAAGAAGGCTCTTAGGCATAGAAAAAGGGAACAAGTAAAACCCCATGCATTCTTCCCACCTAGGAAAATAAATATGGGGTCTTATGATTCATTACAGGACTCTAATTTCTGAGCTTCTTTGAGAAAACTCAGCTCTAAATTTCTTTATCAACTTTTTTGCAGTAGGGATAGAAGACTAGAAGTTCTATTGCAAGTTTATACAAAACAATGTCTATTTTTCTTAATGTTAATGATTTGGAACATTACATGATATTTTTCTATTAAAGATTTCTCTCCAACAAGGAATATACAGTGACTTTTAATCCAAAGCAGACTACAGCAGCCTAGAGGAAGCCCCAGCTGAGATGGAGATGATCAGGAACAATCAATATTTCATAATTAAACCTGTTGAATTCACAGTAATAAAGCTGCAGTTTTAATTTAGAGTTGACTGTCCAGAGAAAAAATATTCTGACAGCAGTAGAATGGGGAGTTGACTTTCATTTATTCCTCAGATAAAGGTGAATTCATTGTCTATCACCTTCTGACCACTGTGATGGGTTGGTGCTGAGAAATTGTCAGAACGAGAGAGACATAATATCAGCTTGGAGCTGGCACTTGATAATAATCCCCAGAATGTAAATTCCTGGAAGGACTTATTCACTGCTGTAATCCTCAGAATAAGAATAGTATCCGACACATAGTAGGTGTTCTAGTTGAACAACAAATGTGTGGTGAATTAGTGAATAAAGTGTTTTTATATGACATTTTTGTCTTTTGAATATAATTTTGTACCTGAAACAAACTTGTCAAATGGGAAGAGGAATATTAATTTTACATAGAAGAAAACCACAAGGATGTCAGAAGATTTCTAAGGCTTATGGTCAGGTGACAGCACTGGCCTCACATCCCATCCATTTTTAAAATATTAAGCAGTGAAATCCTTTCTTCAAACAAAATTGGACTCCAGAGTTCAACAGGCAAATCAGATAGAAGCTGAGACACATTGGTTCATATAGGTGTGGGGAGCAGACACCTTTCATTTCTGTAGGCTTCTTCCCCATCCCTTTTCATCCATTGCAAACACTGGATAAATCATGCTAATTAGATGGTTAGGACATTTGTGCTTCTTATAAGTAACTGTCCTCTCTGTTACATAGTTTACTCTTTATTCAGAGGCTACTCTAGCTGTGTGACCTTAGGCAGGTTACTTAACATCTGTAAATCTCAACTTTCTCATGTGCAAAATGGAAATTATAATTATAAATGCCTCTAGGGTTGTTGTGAAGATCCATGAGGAGAATACATATAGCAGTTAATAAAAGGCATGGTACAAAATAAGTGCTCAATGAATGTGAACTATAATGGTGGTGATGATGATGATGATTGAGATAATGGTGATTGGGAGGAAGAACAGCTTTTGATACTCACCTGGTCTAAAACAAAACAAAAGGATGAAGTAGGGCTCATTTATTTTTCCCGTGTGATAGGAGCTTTCAATATTAAATGAAATATATAATTATCCATTTCATTTTACATTACAGACATGACAACCAAGATATAAATAAATGTAGAGAATAATGTGTTCTTGCTTTTGTGGTGTCAGAAAGCATTTATTTTGCTTTTTAGGTTTAACAAAAAGGTTTTGAGCACAGTTTAGGACATTAAAATATACAATTAAATGCCATTTTAATTCATGTGAATATACGTTTATGAAATAATATCTGTGTTCCAGCTACTCTTTCAGGCTCTGGGGACACAGAGGTACACAAAACACTATCTTGTCTTTAAAGTGCTGAATGTCTGGTGGAAAAAACCATTATAGTAAGGTAAAATCAAGTCTGTCGCTGAGGTGTCCTCAAATTACTTTTGCAAAAATTGAAAATGTCCATATCTTTCTGCTCATTTTGTTTATCTGGGTTTTTTCTAATATATTTCTAAGGACAAGGCTTATGGGGAATGATATTTCCTAGGTTCTTGAATATTGATAAGAATTTGTCTATACCTCTATATTTGAAAAATCAGTTTTTCTGGACATCAAATCATTGTCTCGCATTTTCTTTATTTAAATATTTTTATTTAATACTTTGAATATCCTTGTTCAATTTTCTTTTGAAACATTGTCCTCAAAAAGGTGTAATCTAATTTTTTCCTTGGTAAGTCATATCCTGTTATTACCTAGATTTCCAATGAGTTTCTTTTTCTTTAAAATCCATTAATATCACTAGATTATCTCTTGGTATTGGTTGAAGTCTTAGTATTTCTTTTGATCCTTGGCTTTTTCTTTTTCAGAAACTACTATTATTCATATGTTAGATGTTCTTTGCCTGTCTTCAATATTTGTCACTTTGCCTTGAATCCTTGTTATCTTTTTCTACCCTTCTACAGAATTAAAACAAAGTTTTTAATTTTACATTTTTCTCTAAAGGCATTATTTGTCTTATTTATTCATGTTTGTGTTCTTTCTACACTAGGTTTTATTTACAAAATGATATTTTCTTTTTTTAACCATTTATTATCACCTAATTTTTGAGTTTTTCCAGTTATTATTTTTTTTAAATTATAGATTTTTTCCTTTTTTCAAGTTATAACTTTTAAAACTCTTTTAAGTATTCATTTTGAAATAATTTGTATCTGTCAAAGTTACAGTAATAGTATAAAAATATTCCTGCATATCTTTCACCCAGCTTACCTAAATGCTAACATTTTACATATCTGTAAGATAATGATCAAAACCAGGAAACTAACATTAATATACTAGTATTAATTACATACATTATTCAGATTTCACCAATCATTCCAATAATGTTGTTTTTCCAGGATCATATATTGCATTTAGTAGTTGTGTCTTCTCAATCTCCTCTAATCTAAAATAGTTCCTCAGGTTTTTTTTCTGTTTATCTTGACTTTTTTGAAGAGTACTGGTGAGTTATATATAGAATATCCCTTGAATTGGGTTTGTCTGATGTTTCCTCATTATTAAATAGTGGCTTTGTATTTCTGGCAAGGTTGTCACACAGGTGATGTTGTACCCTTCTCAGTTGTATCATATCAGGGGCATGTGATGTTGACATGCCTCACAAATGGTGATGTTAACTTTGATCATTTGAATAAAGTGGTATCTTCCAGACTTCTCCATCATAAAGTTACTATTATTTGCTTTGGGATTAGTAAGTGTCTTGTGGGGAGATACTCTGATGTGAATCTTCTGTTGCTCATTATAGTTTTACCCACTAACTTTAGCTACATTGCTGATTGTTGCTTGTATCGATTATTACTGTGATGTTTGTCAAATGATAAGTTTTTTAAGTTTTCTCTAAATGTATAAATCTACTTCTCTATGTACTAATTGGAATTCTACTAAAATTAAGAGCTATTCCTTCTTCCCTACTTATTTATTTAAATCACTATGAATTTATGAATATTTAATTTATTCTATGGGTTATAACATAGTACTATTGTTCGTGGTCAAATCTTACTGCATTTCACCATTGTGGTTCCCTTAGAATTGATCTCTGCGTCATTTCAACATGTCTCCATTATTTAAAAATACTTCCTTATTTTTTGGCACCATTATATATTCTGTTCCAGACTGATATTCTTTTCTTCTGCCCCACCTCTGAAACCAGGCATTTCTTCAAGCAGCCCTGGTTTCTTTTATTCAATAATGGTATTTAGAAACTGATATCTGGGAACTAGATATGTTTCTTGCTTGTTAGTATTTCTCGGTTCTTCTAGCAGACAGAGCTGGGAAATAGATGTATGAATACACACACAAACACACACACACACACACACACACACATACACATCTATTTCTTTATCTATCTGTAAATTTAAAATCATGAGTTTATGCTGATACCTCTGATTTCAATACAAAATCACAGAGTTAATTCCTTATTTGTAATTCCTTTCTGTAACAGTGAGAAACCTGGTTGTTGTTATTCATAATTGATTTACTTATTTATTCAATCCTAGAATACACATAAAGTAGTTTTAGAATTGCCAGCTCAGAATTGTGCACTGCTATGAAAAACAAATTTGTGTATTGTTCTTTTTATCCTTAGCTTTACCATTTATAGCCAAAATTTTATTTTCTAAAGTTACTCAGTTCAGTTCTTTTCTTCTTACTTCGTTTAGTGTTAGTCACTTGTGACAGAGTTTATTTATAAATGTTTGTAACCCATTTGGGTTTTCTCCATGGCTCTTGTGTTTGATTATATTTATTTATTTATTGATATGAATATGTGAAATGTTAACTTGGTTCTAAAAGTTGAAATTAGACAAAAATATATGCTCAGGGAAATGTCACTTGCCCCTCAGTCTTCTTACCCCATTCCCAGTTACCCATTCTCTGTTTGTTATACCCCATGTCCACCCCATGTCCATTAGGCCATCAGTCTTATTAGTTTCTGATTTATCTTTCTTGTATTTTCTTGCACAAAGGAATAAATGCATGTTTATTGTTCATCTCCTTCATTCTTAGCTATGCTATTTTATCCCTTAACTGTATATTTTTATTTGTAAAAGTTATATTTCATTCAACTTTATCATTTAACTCCACATCCTAAAAATTACCACTCCATATCAACTCATTGGGATTTTCCTCTTTTTTTACATAGTTGCATAATACTTCATTTTGTGACGGCACCAAATTATTCAACTACTCTCCTTTATGGAAATTTACCTTTGTATGCTAATATTGTATCCTGCTACTTTACTGAATTCCTTTACTGTTTGAGTTAATAGTTGGTTTTCTAGGTATGCTGCAATGTTATCTGCAAATACACATGGTTTCAGATCTTCTTTACTGATTTGCATGCTTCTGAATAATACCTCTTGTCTAGGTTCATTGGGTAATACTTCTAATTATACATTGAAGAGTTGTGGAGAGAGTGATCCTCATTACCTTGTGCCTGCTCTTAGTGGAAATTCCTCTGGAGTTTCTCCATTAAATAAAATTCTTCCTTTAAGACTTTTAGAATTCCTGGCTTTAGGAATGTGTGCATGTGTGCCTGTATGTGTGTATATACACACATACACGCACAGTATCTATCAATTCTTATTTTCTTGATTGTCTTTATCAGGAGTGGGTGTGGAATTTTTCAAAGGTTTCTATTTGCTTTAATTATTATAAAAATAATAATTAGTTCTTGATTTTTAAACATTGTCTTTTATTATTTCCTATTCTAACAATTTTTTGTGAGAATTAAAAAGAATTTAAAATTTCAGATTTTAAATAAATGACCCTTAGTTTTATCTACTAAATAATGTTATGTTGTTCAAAATGTCAGCTGGTTGCAATGGATGACTTCAAGTGGTTGTTGGCTGGCTGGCCTCAGAATTAGTAGCACAGCCTAAGGTTTCACTGTTCACTTGCATGTGTATTTGGCAAATTCTTCACAAACAGTTGTTGGTCTTGTGAACACAAAAGTATCTGAGACAGATCTCAATCAATTTAAAAAGTTTGTTTTGGCAGTGTTAAGGACGTGCCCGTGACACAGCCTCAGCAGTCCTGATGACATGTGCCCGAGGTGGTTGGGGCATAGCTTGGTTTTATACATTTTAGGGAGACATGAGATAGCAATTAATATGTGTAAGATGTACATTGATTGGGTTCAGAAAGGTGGGACAACTCAAAGCGGGGGAGGGAGCTTCCAGGTCATAGGTAGATAAGAGACAAACAGTTGCATTCTTTTGAGACTCTGATTAGCCTTTTACTGAATACACAAGTTCCATGTGAGAGGAAACTAGAGGAGTAGTCACTTATGCCTGAGTCTGGCTTAGTGAAACAACAGGGCAGAGAAAGCCATTATATATGCATTTGTCTCAGGTGAACGGAGGGTTGGCTTTGAGTTCCGTCATCTTTGTCCACAAGGAATCTCCTTGTTGGCAAATTGTGAGGCAGGTATGTAGCTTTTCTATCTTTGTAGCTATCTTATTTGGTAATAAAATGGGAGGAAGGTTGTGCAGTTCCCAGCTTGACTTTTCCCTTTAGCTTAGTGATCTTGAGGTCTCGAGATATATTTTCCTTTCAGTCTGGTGACGTAACTTTAGAAACTTCCAACGCAGAGGGCTGACTGTTTCACAGGGAGTAATATTTAATTTATTCAGTCAGTTGTATGTGGGAACAAGTGTTGTGTAGAAATGTGAATTAACTGGCTGGGTGCGGTGGCTGACGCCTGTCATCCCAGCACTTTGGAAGGCCAAGGTGGGCAGATCACCTGAGGTCAGGAGTTTGAGACCAGCCTGGTCAACATGGCGAAACCCTGTCTCTACTAAAAATACAAAAAATTAGCTGGGCGTGGCGGCACATGCCTGTAATCCCAGCTACTCTGGAGGCTGAGGCAGGAGAATCGCTTGAACCCAGGAGGCGGAGGTTGCAGTGAGCCGGGATGGTGCTCTAGCCTGGTTGACAAGAGTGAAACTCCATCTCAAAAAAAAAAAAAAAAAAAAAGTGATTTAACTGATCACGTGTTCTTGATTGATGCAAGTGATGCGGTAGGGCTCTCTCTATATTTGCAGCTAATCTGGCTCATCACTTAATCTGGTCTGAGCTGATTTCAGCTGAAGTTGTCCTGGTCGTGTGATCTTTTGAATTGCCCCATTGAATAGCTGAATGATATTATGAAATCAGACTAGTGAAAATAACTTAGAAATGAAAACCACATTTTAATCTTCTCTATTGGTGTTCAAATTAAAACATGTAAGAGACTAACACAACAGTGGGAAAAATGGGTTGGGCAAGTATGTAAGTGGGAGTGTCTCCAAGCTTTTGGAGCTGGCTCTGCTCCAGATGAGATGCTAAAAGTCCTAAATATGTGTTCTAGTTCTGGAAGCATGGTGGCAATAAATCCCTTTATAAAGTAATAATTCCTTTGTGAATGTTAATTTTCTTCTTACCTTAAATTCTAGTAGAAAGCACTGCTTCTTTCACTTTAATGTGCATACACAGTCCATTAGGATCTTGTTAAAATGCAGACTCAGGGTTGGGACTAGAGTTTCTACATATCTCACAGGCTACCAGGTAATGTTGTTGCTCCTCCTTTGTGACTACCCTTGGAGGAACAAGGGCATAAAGAACTATTTTGTATTTAGACCTACCAAAGTTCAAATGTTAACTATGGGTAATTTCTTTCACAAAGATGACATTTGAACCCAGGTCAGTTCTTCTGGCTTATCTTTAAAGATTTTGGCTTTCCCATTTCTGGGCTCTGGGGTGATCATGCCTCTGGTAACCCATTTCTGGGTTCCTGGAGGTGTGTAGGAACACCTGTGTTAGATCTCTTATCTTCCCTTGCTCTCTGGATTATTGACTCTCCTGAGCATTTTGCGTGACAAAAAATATCCTGAACATAATAACATGTCCCTGACAACCCTGGTTGTTTTGAGCTTTAGAACAACTGTAGCTTTGAAATGAAGTTGTCTTTTGGTTTTTTCCTCTTTTTTCTTTTCTCCATCCAAACCATGTTTATTTGGAAAGCTCTGGGTGCAGTGTCTGGCCGATAGTCCCCCATGCTCTTCGTCGTGTTCTTGAAGCTTTCATGCATCTCTTTGCCTTCATAGATATTCTCCTCCTGCACCCTTCCTGCCTTCTTCACCTAGGATGTACAGTGAATGGCGAAGCTGCTGCCTAAATCTCAAACATGCTGCCTCTCTTTAGGCTCCAGAGCTTGCTGTGCTGCAGGCACTAATATTATCTAGCCTGGCATCATTCATTCAGTCTGATGGGCTCTATCCCTCTGTTTTTCAGTCATGGACGGATGGGAGATTTTTGAATCCTCTTGTATTGGGACGGCAGCCCTATAGATTCATTTTTAGAAGGTGACTCACTTTTCCTCTGTCTCTGCTTGTGGTCCTTTCTTGGCTTTAGGAGTTCTGGTAGTTCAGGATCTAGTTGTTAAAGCCCGCGGTTATGTTACTTGTTTCCCAACCTCTGGAGGATCCCTGTTCTCAGTAGATAAACGAGATCCACAATTAATGTTAAAAGAATTATTTTTCGTGGCATCATTGTCCTTTAGACTGTCCAGCCTTTAAGGTTCCCTTTTAATCAGAATGTCATGCAGCTGGTGGCTTCTATTCAGTGACCCTTTAGTTAGGACTAGTGCTGCTGATTGACTCTTCGATAATTTCAGTTGAGATGCTTTTGTTTGGTCATAAAATGACCATATTTTCTGGAGATCAGAAGCTGTCTTCTCTTTTCTTAAGGAAAAAGATATGCCCCACAAAAACCTCAGTTTTAAGGATTTCCAGACATTGGCTGCAAATGCCTGAAAAGAACAGAAAGATAATGCGTGTGGGAAACAATCAAGGTAAACATAGGCAATAAGGATGCCTGACCCTCAGTGGCATATGAAATTCCCACCTAAAAACATTCAGTCAGTGCAAAATAATTCAGTCTAGTTCTGGTGAAGTATTCCAACTCTGTACCACCTTCTAAAATTAAGGATCTAGGCAAGGTTATCACATCTCTGGTGTGCATTTGTTGAGAGAGTTACAGGGATGCAAGCATTTCAAAGCTAAAAATGCAGCATTCCTAGACAAACTGGATATCTGAGCATCCTAGATCTGGCATATTTAGTGCCTATAAACTTTATCTTAAACTAGCTATTTAAACTAAAGCTTTTTAAAATAAGGAGGACAAGTCAGATCAAATGTCTTTATTTGTGAAAAACAAAATGAAGTGGATAATTTTTCCCTGTAACTTATTTTCAGTGAAGGGAAAAATAACATCATCCTTTGATATTTGCAGATTATTGGTTCCAGGACACCTTCCCCACACCCACCTCCATGGATATCAAAATTCGTGGATGCTCAAGCCTCTTATATAAAATGGCTTAGTACAGTTGGCCCTCCATATTCATGGATACAGAGGGCCAACTATAGCAATAATCACCATTTTATGATTCTTATAAAGAAAGCAGAACTTCAAACTATTTGAGAGAGGACCACTTTTCAGAAATTATAGGCACTGAATTTATTGCCAGCCAGTCATAGCTGTCCATCTGCTAATTCTCCCCCCATAGAAGGAGCAGCTGTCATTTCAGAAATGCTACAGTAGATAATAAGATAGGGTGCATTTCATCTTCAAATGCTTAAATCCCTGGGAAGAGCAGCAACAGCTCTTCTGACTGCATGAATCTCTGATATTATTAACACAAAATGCCAAATGGATTCAGAGATCAGAAGCAAATGGATTCACTTTAAAAGGAAAAGCACTCAAGTTAGGTGTTGTACATATTATAATAACCTGCATTTGCATAGATACAGGGACTGCCAAAGCCCTAGTCACACACAGAGATACTCTCCAAATCATAACCACCATAGAGTCCTGAAGACAAATACAATCACATGGGCTTCCCAAATCCACACAACCTATCTACACAAATGGAATGATTCATTGCCTCTACCTCCAAAACAGACAACAAACAAACCAAATTTTCCCCAAAATAAGAGCTTTCTTAAGTTCTGTATGTCTCACATTGGCCCAATTTCTCTCCAAATCTCTATGTTTAAATATTCTTAGATGTGGTCCTCCTTTGTGTGCTGTTTAACAGCCCAAATTTCAATCAGCAATTTCTACTGATTATTTCTTTGCATTTTTTCTTAGATGAATTCTTTTCTGTTCAGCCTACTGCCTCTACCCTTAGGTGTGTCCAAGTACACTGTTACTTAAAAATGACCACAGCCTCTTGCCTGGAGTTCTTAGTCAAGACACTTCTCCCTTCCATTCACCCTGCATATAGCTATCTGATTATTCTTTATAAGAAAAAAAAATTAGGATGAGGTAAGGAACCAATGAATGTAGTCAAAGTTGTGCTATGCATCCTTGAGCATTTTAGATGTAGATGAAGATGTAGACATAGATACAGATGTGGATATAGTCATGCACACAGACATAGGTAGAGATAGAAGTATATGATATTTCTCTATAGGGATATCTAAAATAGCTATTTCATTCGATCCTCAAAATAAACCTAGGGGGAGATTTGACTTATTTATTTCACACATGAGAATGTTGACTCTCAAAGAGGTCTCAAATCCTATATCTGGTAGCAGCTTGGAGTTGGAACTAGGTCTTATTCAAATTTGGGCTTCTGGTTTCAGCACAAAACTTTATTTTTTTTATTCTTGGAAATTGTGATCTAAAATAGTATTTCTGCAAAGTGGTAATACGTGAGCCTTCTCCATGTAGATGTTGCCCCTGAACTTGGTTTCCATGGAGCATAGGGAAAGAAGATGTAGAGAGAGTTCATACAGAATTGCTGGCTGCTGGACACATGTATGCTTGCATTTTCATTTATACAAGCAGAAATGCTTTTAAAGGGCCTCAACTAATTTCGTCACAGTCAGTGTTACAAAGGAAAAAACAAATCCCCAGTGTTGATGAGAATCCAGGTCAAGGCAAGGAGAAATCACAGAGCAGTCAAAGAGAATCCTGGGGCTCTGGGATGTTGTGCCTGCAAGTACCTTGATTTGAGAAAAGCAATTCATTTAAACACAGCAAATGTGCTTGGGAGCAAGTCTGGGCTGCCTGTTCCTTTCTGTTGCTATCGGCATTGAAAATCTGCTTCATATTTTACCTTCATCCTTGGTCACCAGGCAGAACTGATAAACTCTATTTCTAGATGTCATTGCTATTAAAAACAGAAAGGGAGAAAAAAAGCAGGCAAAGAATAAAAAATGCCAGAGAGGAACATGCACAAGACCTACCATTTATCAAGTCAAAATATTTTAATGGAGAAATCAGGATAAGTGATTAATCTGAAGATTTTTAGTTTCCAGTAAGTTGTAAGAAGGTCTGACAGGCAACAGGAAGCTAATATTTAAAGATAATTTCAGGAACATGGAAATGAATAAGTGGTAAAAGGAGAAGACTGAAGACTGAACCTTCTTTTTACCTCCAATGTTTATTGAAAACACTGTGTTTCAAACAAAACAAAACAGAAATCATATCTGATTCTGCATATGAATGCTGGTAAATTTATTCTTTCCAAATTATTTATCCAATATCAACTCTTGACAGAGTTACTATATTAGAGTTTTGATGGTGACCAAGAGACTATCACTGTCCCTGCCCCCAGGAGGCTCCTAGTCTAATTGGGAAGTCAAGAGAAATAAAAATAAAAATCCATCCAAAATGGTTTTATAAGGACTCTGATCAAGGGGGCCTCAGGATGTTATTGCAGCAAATAGGAGATAGATGCAATGGCCTGGAAAATCAGGGAAAGTTCCCCTGCAGATTGATCCCCTAAACGTTGAAGAGGTAGGGGTACATGAAGATGGAGGAGCCCCAGCCAAGACCTATGTATGATAAGATAGAATGGGTGATGTATTGTGTACTGGTTTCTTAGGGCTGTTGCAGCACACTACAACAAACTGGGTGGCTTAAAACAACAGAAACTCATTTCACACTTCTGGAGGCCATAAGTCAAGTGGGAACTGTTAGCAATTCCACTGAGCTTGGGTGTGGAAGGACAATGGTGGAGGATTTGGGAGGAGTTGGGGGTGCTGGAGGTGTTGGGGATGCTGTGCTGATCCTCCCAATCTGTGGCACTTAGCTCATTGACCCTACTGAGTAAATAATACCTTAGCAGGACTACTGGGAATGTGTCCTGTGCAGGGGCTGCCCTTGGTAATCTCTGGTGGTTGTGGGTTTTTAGGATCACTCTGCCTGACAACTCAGCATCTCAGTTTCCTCACTGTGAGTGGCAGTCAATCCTTTCACTACCAGCTAGGTCACTTTTGTAAAGTAACTTGGTACTTTTGAATACGAACATCATCATTCCCCCAAATAAGGGAATGTATGATTTTGAGCTCATTATTGCTCTAATATACCATGATGATATAGTTGAAAAAGGCACTCTGATTCTCTTGGTAAATGTCAAGCAGTGCAATAGAAGAGAGAGAACAGGGTTAGAAGCAAATAAATCTGGGGGGAAAGCCTAGCTCCTTCTTATGGCCTAGATCTCCAGCCATTTAATAATTTATAAGCCTCACTCTCTTCATTGGGGTGTTCTAATGTCTACCTTGCAGAGTTATTGAACCAGCTGGAAATATCATATGTAACACACCAAGTATGATAGATTGAATGCAACTTAATTATCTGTAGAACTGAAGAACGCATAGCCTAGAGAAATTTATTAAATGTATTCCCCATGGATGTATATAATGGGGAACTACATTTTCCAACTTTGTCTTAAAACTCTGATAATCTGATAGCAAGTCAAATATGGTTTCTAGTTCATTTGGGGGTTGTGAATAATTATGATACTTTGGAGCTTAAAGGACAGATCTACAGCTTTCTAGACATCTGAAATTGATGCCAATTGGGAAGAAATCAGAGGAAAGTTTTGAAGTCATTAGTTTAATTGTTTATCTTGTGGAGCTTTATTTTCTCAAGTTATTTTCTTCTGAATGTGTATTTATTTGCTTATTATTTGTTCCTGTAGCCACAGATGCTCACTGAGCGGGGAAGATTTGAACAGACAATGGCTTTCTCCCAGTGCTCATCTGCAGCCAACCATTTACCATGCCAAAGGCCTCCTCTACCACCTGAGCAGCATTGGCCGAAGTCCCGTGGTGAGTCACTTCCTTCTGCCTCCACCTTCCTGGCTGCTTCCTTCTACCTTCCAGGAAGCAGAGTATATTCTGCCAAGGCAAGAATAGACAATGACCAAAAACCTATGTATGACAAGATAGAATGGAGGATGCATGGTGCATTGACTTCCTGGGCTGCTGTACCAAACTGCCACAACTGGGTAGCTTTGTGTAATGCCAGAGAAACTTATCTCACATTTCTGGAGGTGTGAGTCTGGAATCAGGGTGTTGGCAGGATCATGCCCACTCTGATGGCTCTAAGGAATAATCCTTCTTTGTCTGTTCCAGCTTCTGGTGGTTGCTAGCAATCTTTAGCATTCCTGGGCTTGTGGCAGTGTAACTCTAATCTTTGCCTCTGTCTTCACAAGGCCATCTTCCCTCTGTGTCCAAGTTGCCCTCTTCTAATAAGGACATTAGTCATTGTATTAGGGCTTATTCTAATTAAGTATGGCCTCATCATAGTTTTATCATACCTGCAAAGACCCTGTTTCCAAGTAAGGTTACATTCACAAGTACCAGGGATTAGAACTTGAATACATCTTTTGGGGGGACACAATTGACCCCACAACAAAGGCAAACCCCCAGCGTAGTAGTCATTGGTAAAAACTGGGCAAAAAATCATATTTCATTCCATATCCTGAGTCTTCATTTTTCTGGTATCTCAGTTATTGCATAAGAAAGAAAATGTATATACCTATTAAATAGTGTTTGGAACGAAATCCTCTAGGTGTTTATGTTCAACTAATACTTATATTCCAAATTTTATTCTGGCACTGCCCCAGGGATTTTTATATCTAGGCTGTTTTCCCAAGCCTCTAGTACTATACAATTGATTGAAAAAACACTATTTGAAACCAGAGGACTTGGCTCAAGATAATAAAGAGAAAATGGCAGCCAAGTAACCATATGAAAATGCTCATTTATTAACTACAAACTGTGAACATACCTGTCTACAAACATGTAGAGGGACATACGTCCAAATTCAGAGTCCTTACCTAACCTAACAAACTTAAAATAGAGTGAAGAAGCTCACATACGGGCCAAATCAATTAATCATCTCTACCTTTAGCCACTTTTTGAACATCTACTATGTGACAAAAAGGTGGCACATTCAATGAATATTTATTTTTAAAATGGATGAATATATAATGTAGAATCTTATTTAAATCTCAAAAGAGATGAACAAGTAAACTGATTTCAATGAGATCACCCAGAGGTGTATGGCAGAGTGGGAATTCAGTTCTGATATGTTTTTCTACCCTGCAACATAGCCTCTCTTCATTACTTACTGTTGAAAGCGTGTGTTGGGGAGCTCCATGACTATCCGCAGGCTCAGTGATTCCTTAGAAGGACTCACAGGACTCAGAATAGCAGTTATATTCATAATTACAGTGTATTACCTTCAGAGGACACAGATTAAAATCAGAAAAGGTAAATGGCATTCATGGCAGAGTACAGGAGAGACAAGGTACAAATTTCCAGGTATCCTTGCCCAGTAGAGATACACAGACAGTGCTTGACTCTCCAGCAACAATATGGGTTGCCAACCAGGAAACCTCACTTAGCTCTGGTGTCCAGGGTTTTTGTTGGGGGGTCAGTTATGTAGCCATCAAATATCCTACGTGGCTGATCTTAGTTACTCTGTCTCCCATCTCTCCAGAGGTCAAATTGATATCTCATGGTCCTAGAGCCCCACCATAAGTCACATTGTTAGCATCAACCATCTGGCATGGCCCAAGTCCCAAGGTAAAGAAAGATCTGTTATCCAGCAGAATATTCCAAGAGTGTGAAGTTTATTTCCTAGGAGTCATTCAAGGGACAGATCTTATTTCAGAGTGTGCAGGATTTGAACCCTCTAGTCTTGCTGAGTCAATCTTTTTTTGCTTAGAGAACAAAGTGGATTCTTTTCTCTTAAGAATCCTCATTCTGAAAGTCCTAGCCAGAGCAATCAGGCAAGAGAAAGAAATAAAGGGCATCCAAATTGGAAAAGAGGAAATCAAATTATTTCTGTTTGCTAATGATATGATCATATACCTAGGAAACCCTACAGACTCCCTCAATAGACTCTTACATTTGATAACTGAATTCAGTAAAGTCTCAGGCTACAAAATCAATGTACACTAATCAATAGCACTGCTGTATACCAATAACAACCAGCTGAGAATAAAATCAAGAACTCCGTTTTATTAACAATAGCTACAAAAAAAAAATACCCAGGAATATATTTAACAAGGAAGGTAAAAGATCACTACAACAAGAACCACAAAACACTGATAAAAGAAATCAGACATGACACCGACAAATGGAAAAATATCCCATGCTCATGGATAGGAAGAATCAATATTTTGAAAATCACCATATTTCCCAAAGTGATCTACAGATTTAATGCAATTCCTATCAAAATACTAACATCATTTTTCACAGAATTAGAAAAAACAATCCTAAAATTTATATGGAACCAAAAAATAGCTGAAACCTTAGCAAAAAGAATAATCTGAAGGCATCACATTACTGGATTTCAAGTTATACTACCAGTCTATATTTACCAAATCAGCATGGCACTGGTATAAAAGTAGGCACATAGACCAATGGAACAGAATAGAGAACCCAGAGATAAAGCCAGCCACCTACAATTAACTAATCTTTGACCAAGTAGAAAAAATATATATTCAGTAAATGACGCTGGGAAAATTGGATAGCCACATGTAGAAGAATGAACCTGGATCCCTGTCTCTCACCAAATACAAAAATTAACTCAAGATGAATTAAAGACTTAAATCTAAGATCTGAGTCTGTAAAAATTTTCAAAGAAAACCTACGAAAAACTCTTCTGGATATAGGCATAGGCAAATAATTTATGGTGAAGACTCCAATTTATGGTGAAGACAACAGAAACAAAAATAAATAAATGGGACCTAATTAAACTAAGTACCTTTTGCATGGCAAAAGAAATAACAGAGTAAACAGACAACCTACAGAATGGGAGAAAATGTTTGCAAACTATACATCTGATAAAAGACTAATATCCAAAATCTACAAGAAACTCAAACAAATCAGCAAGACAAAAAAGAAATAATGTTATTAAAATGTGGTTAAATGACGTGAACAGATATTTCTCAAAAGAAGTTATATGAGTGACCAAGAAACATGAGAAAATGCTCAACGTCACTAATTATCAGGGATATGTAAATTAAAACTGCAGTGAGATACCACTTTACGCCAGTAAGAATGGCCGTTTTTAAAAGATCAAAAACAACAGATGTAGGCATGGATGCAGTCAAAAGGGAATGCTTATACACTACCAATGGGAATGTATGTTAGTACAACCTCTATGAAAAACAGTATGGTGATTTCTCAAAGAACTAAAAGGAGATCTACTATTTGATCCAGCAATCCCACTACTGGGTATCTACCCAAAGGAATAAAAAAGTTATTGTATTAAAAATATACCTGCACATATATGTTTATTGCAGCATAATTCATAATTGCCCAAAGATATGGAATCAACCTAAGTCCCCATCAATTGATGAGTGGATGAAGAAAATGTGGCATATATAAATATGCACACAGATATGTTTGTGTCTGTGTATATATATATATATATATATATATATATACACACAGAGTATATATATGTATATAGTGTATATATATATAAATACACAGTATATATATATATTTATACACAGATGCACATATACATATACCATGGAATACTACTCAACCTTAAAAAGAATGAATTAATATTTTTTGCAGCAACTTGAATGGAACTGGAGGCCATTATCCTATGTGAAGTAACCCAGGAATGAAATATCACATGTTCTCATTAAGTGGGATAAGCTACGGGTATGCAAAGGCATACAGACTGGTATAATGGACACTTGGAGAAACAGAAGGGGGTTGGTGGGAGTGGAGTGAAATGAAAAATTACCTGTTGGGTACAATGTACACTATTCAGGTGATAGGTACACTTAAAGGGGACTTTACCACTATAGAATTCATCCACATAACCAAAAACTACTAAAGCTATTGAAATTACAAAGTTAAAACAAGAATACTGGTTCTACACTGCTGAAAATGTACAATCTTTTCATTCTGACCTTCTCCCTCCTGCAATCTTAGAAGGCACTGTAATCTCTGCAGTCTACCCTCTGGAAGCAAGCACATGGCCTGCACAGCAGGTCACAATTTGAAAAAAGTATGTTTCTCTGAGTAGAAAGCTTTAGCTTCTAAGAGGAGAGACAGAGAGTGGGACTTAAAAGGAAGAAATCCCTATATAATACACATTTAAACACGCACACATTCAATCCACAACAAAACAGAATTCCTCTCTGCTCTGACAACCTCTAATTGAAGAGCAGAACATTTATTTTAAAGCATGACAGGTGAAAGCCTTGTTTAAAAATATAAATAAACATTAATTAGCTATAAACATGACAGCCACAGACATGTTTCCTGCTGGGACCATCTGAGAGGTGGGTGAGAAACAGCTGAGCACTAAATGCTGTTCACAGTGTTACAAAGCTCTCTAATGGGCTCAACATCACCTTTTAGTTACCTAGGAGGCTATATTTAATGAGTCTCCTGCTGGCAGCAGAAGCGCTGCCACTCACTCAGCACTCAGGCCTATCCTGTACTGGGAAGATTTCCACTGCGACGAGATTAACTGTGACTCTGCCCAAATTCTGGCTCTTATGAAAATGTTTTCTGAAGCACTGGGAAGCCACTTTATGGTGGCTAGGAAGATCCACCGGTTCTAGATACTATTCAGCCATTTGCTTATTGGTGAGTGGATTAATATGACTCCCAGGACCAAAAAGAATGTGGTACTGTGAGAAAAAGCAGTACCCTGAGAGCGTTGAGCATTGCTAAATACCAGACAAGTCATTCACTTTATAGTGAATATGGCAATATTCACATATTGTGTAATTCCTCCACTCATCCATATATCTGTCCATCCACTCACCTAGCCATCCATCATCCATTCATCCATCCAACCACTTATCCATCCACCCACCCATCCACCCAATGTAGGCAGTCATTCATTTCTTCATTCACTTGCATCATATATGTATAATTATGGTGCTACGTGTCAGGGATACAAAGAAAATATTTTATTTAAGATTGTCCTTTTCTGGGGGGAGGAGCCAAGATGGCCGAATAGGAACAGCTCCGGTCTACAGCTCCCAGCGTGAGCGACGCAGAAGACGGGTGATTTCTGCATTTCCATCTGAGGTACCGGGTTCATCTCACTAGGGAGTGCCAGACAGTGGGCGCAGGCCAGTGGGTGCACGCACCGGGCGCGAACCGAAGCAGGGCGAGGCATTGCCTCACCTGGGAAGCGCAAGGGGTCAGGGAGTTCCCTCTCCGAGTCAAAGAAAGGGGTGACGGACGCACCTGGAAAATCAGGTCACTCCCACCCGAATATTGCGCTTTTCAGACCTGCTTAAAAAACGGCGCACCACGAGACTATATCCCACACCTGGCTCGGAGGGTCCTACACCCACGGAATCTCGCTGATTGCTAGCACAGCAGTCTGAGATCAAACTGCAAGGTGGCAGCGAGGCTGGGGGAGGGGCGCCGGCCATTGCCCAGGCTTGCTTAGGTAAACAAAGCAGCCGGGAAGCTCGAACTGGGTGGAGCCCACCACAGCTCAAGGAGGCCTGCCTGCCTCTGTAGGCTCCACCTCTGGGGGCAGGGCACAGACAAACAAAAAGACAGCAGTAACCTCTGCAGACTTAAATGTCCCTGTCTGACAGCTTTGAAGAGAGCAGTGGTTCTCCCAGCACGCAGCTGGAGATCTGAGAACGGGCAGACTACCTCCTCAAGTGGGTCCCTGACCCCTGACCCCCGAGCAGCCTAACTGGGAGGCACCCCCCAGCAGGGGCACACTGACACCTCACACGGCAGGGTATTCCAACAGACCTGCAGCTGAGGGTCCTGTCTGTTAGAAGGAAAACTAACAAACAGAAAGGACATCCACACCGAAAACCCATCTGTACATCACCATCATCAAAGACCAAAAGTAGATAAAACCACAAAGATGGGGAAAAAACAGAACAGAAAAACTGGAAACTCTAAAACGCAGAGCGCCTCTCCTCCTCCAAAGGAACGCAGTTCCTCACCAGCAACGGAACAAAGCTGGATGGAGAATGACTTTGACGAGCTGAGAGAAGAAGGCTTCAGACGATCAAATTACTCTGAGCTACGGGAGGACATTCAAACCAAAGGCAAAGAAGTTGAAAACTTTGAAAAAAATTTAGAAGAATGTATAACTAGAATAACCAATACAGAGAAGTGCTTAAAGGAGCCGATGGAGCTGAAAACCAAGGCTCGAGAACTACGTGAAGAATGCAGAAGCCTCAGGAGCCGATGCGATCAACTGGAAGAAAGGGTATCAACGATGGAAGATGAAATGAATGAAATGAAGCGAGAAGGGAAGTTTAGAGAAAAAAGAATAAAAAGAAATGAGCAAAGCCTCCAAGAAATATGGGACTATGTGAAAAGACCAAATCTACGTCTGATTGGTGTACCTGAAAGTGATGCGGAGAATGGAACCAAATTGGAAAACACTCTGCAGGATATTATCCAGGAGAACTTCCCCAATCTAGCAAGGCAGGCCAACATTCAGATTCAGGAAATACAGAGAACGCCACAAAGATACTCCTCGAGAAGAGCAACTCCAAGACACATAATTGTCAGATTCACCAAAGTTGAAATGAAGGAAAAAATGTTAAGAGCAGCCAGAGAGAAAGGTCAGGTTACCCTCAAAGGGAAGCCCATCAGACTAACAGCGGATCTCTCGGCAGAAACCCTGCAAGCCAGAAGAGACTGGGGGCCAATATTCAACATTCTTAAAGAAAAGAATTTTCAACCCAGAATTTCATATCCAGCCAAACTAAGCTTCATAAGTGAAGGAGAAATAAAATACTTTACAGACAAGCAAATGCTGAGAGATTTTGTCACCACCAGGCCTGCCCTAAAAGAGCTCCTGAAGGAAGTGCTAAACATGGAAAGGAACAACCGGTACCAGCCGCTGCAAAATCATGCCAAAATGTAAAGACCATCGAGACTAGGAAGAAACTGCATCAACTAACGAGCAAAATCACCAGCTAACATCATAATGACAGGATCAAATTCACACATAACAATATCAACTTTAAATGTAAATGGACTAAATTCTCCAATTAAAAGACACAGACTGGCAAGTTGGATAAAGAGTCAAGACCCATCAGTGTGGTGTATTCAGGAAACCCATCTCACGTGCAGAGACACACATAGGCTGAAAATAAAAGGATGGAGGAAGATCTACCAAGCCAATGGAAAACAAAAAAAGGCAGGGGTTGCAATCCTAGTCTCTGATAAAACAGACTTTAAACCAACAAAGATCAAAGGAGACAAAGAAGGCCATTACATAATGGTAAAGGGATCAATTCAACAAGAGGAGCTAACTATCCTAAATATATATGCACCCAATACAGGAGCACCCAGATTCATAAAGCAAGTCCTGAGTGACCTACAAAGAGACTTAGACTCCCACACATTAATAATAGGAGACTTTAACACCCCACTGTCAACATTAGACAGATCAATGAGACAGAAAGTCAACAAGGATACCCAGGAATTGAACTCAGCTCTGCACCAAGCGGACTTAATAGACATCTACAGAACTCTCCACCCCAAATCAACAGAATATACATTCTTCTCAGCACCACACCACACCTATTCCAAAATTGACCACATAGTTGGAAGTAAAGTTCTCCTCAGCAAATGTAAAAGAAGACAAATTATAACAAACTATCTCTCAGACCACAGTGCAATCAAACTAGAACTCAGGATTAAGAATCTCACTCAAAGCCGCTCAACTACATGGAAACTGAACAACCTGCTCCTGAATGACTACTGGGTACATAACGAAATGAAGGCAGAAATAAAGATGTTCTTTGAAACCAACGAGAACAAAGACACAACATACCAGAATCTCTGGGACGCATTCAAAGCAGTGTGTAGAGGGAAATTTATAGCACTCAATGCCCACAAGAGAAAGCAGGAAAGATCCAAAATTGACACCCTAACATCACAATTAAAAGAACTAGAGAAGCAAGAGCAAACACATTCAAAAGCTAGCAGAAGGCAAGAAATAACTAAAATCAGAGCAGAACTGAAGGAAATAGAGACACAAAAAACCCTTCAAAAAATCAATGAATCCAGGAGCTGGTTTTTTGAAAGGATCAACAAAATTGATAGACCGCTAGCAAGACTAATAAAGAAAAAAAGAGAGGAGAATCAAATAGACACAATAAAAAATGATAAAGGGGATATCACCACCAATCCCACAGAAATACAAACTACCATCAGAGAATACTACAAACACCTCTACGCAAATAAACTAGAAAATCTAGAAGAAATGGATACATTCCTCGACACATACACTCTCCCAAGACTAAACCAGGAAGAAGTTGAATCTCTGAATAGACCAATAACAGGAGCTGAAATTGTGGCAATAATCAATAGTTTACCAACCAAAAAGAGTCCAGGACCAGATGGATTCACAGCCGAATTCTACCAGAGGTACAAGGAGGAACTGGTACCATTCCTTCTGAAACTATTCCAATCAATAGAAAAAGAGGGAATCCTCCCTAACTCATTTTATGAGGCCAGCATCATTCTGATACCAAAGCCTGGCAGAGACACAACCAAAAAAGAGAATTTTAGACCAATATCCTTGATGAACATTGATGCAAAAATCCTCAATAAAATACTGGCAAACCGAATCCAGCAGCACATCAAAAAGCTTATCCACCATGATCAAGTGGGCTTCATCCCTGGGATGCAAGGCTGGTTCAATATACGCAAATCAATAAATGTAATCCAGCATATAAACAGAGTCAAAGACAAAAACCACATGATTATCTCAATAGATGCAGAAAAAGCCTTTGACAAAATTCAACAACCCTTCATGCTAAAAACTCTCAATAAATTATGTATTGATGGGACGTATTTCAAAATAATAAGAGCTATCTATGACAAACCCACAGCCAATATCATACTGAATGGGAAAAACTGGAAGCATTCCCTTTGAAAACTGGCACAAGACAGGGATGCCCTCTCTCACCGCTCCTATTCAACATAGTGTTGGAAGTTCTGGCCAGGGCAATCAGGCAGGAGAAGGAAATAAGGGGTATTCAATTAGGAAAAGAGGAAGTCAAATTGTCCCTGTTTGCAGACAACATGATTGTTTATCTAGAAAACCCCATCATCTCAGCCCAAAATCTCCTTAAGCTGATAAGCAACTTCAGCAAAGTCTCAGGATACAAAATCAATGTGCAAAAATCACAAGCATTGTCATACACCAACAACAGACAAACAGAGAGCCAAATCATGAGTGAACTCCCATTCACAATTGCTTCAAAGAGAATAAAATACCTAGGAATCCAACTTACAAGGGATGTGAAGGACCTCTTCAAGGAGAACTACAAACCACTGCTCAAGGAAATAAAAGAGGATACAAACAAATGGAAGAACATTCCATGCTCATGGGTAGGAAGAATCAATATCATGAAAATGGCCATACTGCCCAAGGTAATTTACAGATTCAACGCCATCCCCATCAAGCTACCAATGACTTTCTTCACAGAATTGGAAAAAACTACTTTAAAGTTCATATGGAACCAAAAAAGAGCCCGCATCGCCAAGTCAATCCTAAGCCAAAAGAACAAAGCTGGAGGCATCAGACTACCTGACTTCAAACTATACTACAAGTCTACAGTAACCAAAAGAGCATGGTACTGGTACCAAAACAGAGATATAGATCAATGGAACAGAACAGAGCCCTCAGAAATAACGCCGCTTACCTACAACTATCTGATCTTTGACAAACCTGAGAAAAACAAGCAATGGGGAAAGGATTCCCTATTTAATAAATGGTGCTGGGAAAACTGGCTAGCCATATGTAGAAAGCTGAAACTGGATCCCTTCCTTACACCTTATACAAAAATCAATTCAAGATGGATTAAAGATTTAAACGTTAGACCTAAAACCATAAAAACCCTAGAAGAAAACCTAGGCATTACCATTCAGGACATAGGTGTGGGCAAGGACTTCATGTCCAAAACACCAAAAGCAATGGCAACAAAAGCCAAAATTGACAAATGGGATCTAATTAAACTACAGAGCTTCTGCACAGCAAAAGAAACTACCATCAGAGTGAACAGGCAACCTACAACATGGGAGAAAATTTTCACAACCTACTCATCTGACAAAGGGCTAATATCCAGAATCTACAATGAACTCAAACAAATTTACAAGAAAAAAACAAACAACCCAGTCAAAAAGTGGGCGAAGGACATGAGCAGACACTTCTCAAAAGAAGACATTTATGCAGCCAAAAAATACATGAAAAAATGCTCATCATCACTGGCCATCAGAGAAATGCAAATCAAAACCACTATGAGATACCATCTCACACCAGTTAGAATGGCAATCATTAAAAAGTCAGGAAACAACAGGTGCTGGAGAGGATGTGGAGAAATAGGAACACTTTTACACTGTTGGTGGGACTGTAAACTAGTTCAACCATTGTGGAAGTCAGTGTGGCGATTCCTCAGGGATCTAGAACTAGAAATACCATTGGACCCAGCCATCCCATTACTGGGTATATACCCAAATGACTATAAATCATGCTGCTATAAAGACACATGCACACGTATGTTTATTGTGGCATTATTCACAATAGCAAAGACTTGGAACCAACCCAAATGTCCAACAATGATAGACTGGATTAAGAAAATGTGGCACATATACACCATGGAATACTAGGCAGCCATAAAAAATGATGAGTTCATGTCCTTTGTAGGGACATGGATGAAATTGGAAACCATCATTCTCAGTAAACTATCGCAAGAACAAAAAACCAAACACCGCATATTCTCACTCATAGGTGGGAATTGAACAATGAGATCACATGGTCACAGGAAGGGGAATATCACACTCTGGGGACTGTGGTGGGGTGGGGGGAGGGGGGAGGGGTAGCATTGGGAGATATACCTAATGCTAGATAACGAGTTAGTGGGTGCAGCGCACCAGCATGGCACATGTATACATATGTAACTAACCTGCACAATGTGCACATGTACCCTAAAACTTAAAGTATAATAAAAAAAAAAAAAAAAAAAAAAGATTGTCCTTTTCTTTGAGGAACCCAGATTTTACTTTGGTAGAAAGTAGAGTCAGGTCTACAAGGAAACTGGAGTGGTAGAAAATAGTAAGCACTGTAACAAAGGCCCATGTGAGCTTTGATAGGAACATAGATGAAGGGTTGAGTCATTTTCTCTCAGGGTTATGGAAAAGCCAGAGATTAGAAGTACCATTTGAGCTGGACTTGCATGAAGAAGAGTTTCCCTTGGATTTTATTCTAGTAAGGCTGAGAAATATTCTTTCCTCAAAGAATCTGTAGGCCTATGATCTCTTGAGTCTTCTGCCCTGTGAAATTGAAAGTCCAGGAGTTTTCTGTGCTTGGGGTTACTACACAGGGCAAAGGAAAAGAAGCTTCTCATTTGATGGGTCGCAGAGATTCATTTGATATCACACAGACCTTCTTGTGACTCCATTCCCATTTTCTTTAACCCAGGTTTTCTGTCTCTTTTGTTTGTTAGAGAGTCCAGATGTTAGATACAGAAGCCCAGACACAGCAAAGTTTGGTATATTTATGCACTGGAATATTATTCAGTAACTAAAACCAAAACTAAACCAAAAAATGAACTATGATATAGTCAATAACGTGGGTGAATCTCATAAACATTATATTGAGTGAAAGAAGCTAGACACTAAAGACTACATACTCTATTCTCTATGTGTCTGTTTATGTAAAGTATAAGATCAGTGAAAGTAATTTATGGGGACATAAATTGAACAGTGTTTGCCTCTGAGGAAGAGCATTGAATAGTAGGGGTCAGGAGGGAACTTTATAGGTTAGCAGAGATGTTCAATATCATGATCAGAGTCGGTTACACAAAAACTCATTGAACTATATATTCAGGATCTGCGTTTTTCACTCTAGGTACACATTTACCTAAATGCAGAAAATTAAAATTAAAGCAAAGTCACAGAGATTTAAAATGCAATGAGGAGACAAAGGGGGCTCCCTTAAATGAAGCTGACTAGCATACAGGCATGTGAGCCAAGGAAAACAGTTTTCCCAGGAAAGAGCAGAAAGGTTGTAGAAGAAGGTCTGTTTAGAAGTCAGAAAGATCCAGCCAGAGAGGCGGCCTATAAGCAGAGAAGCCCAAAGAAGCGGACAAGCTCTACAATCAGCTAGCAGAAGGCATTGAACCAGTTTCCCTTTGTGGAGCTCCCTCTAAAAGCCAAGAGGCTCATGGCCAAGGAGGCAGATGAGGACAGTCGGGGACATCCCTGGGACTGGAAGAAAGTTCTTAGGCTACTACAGCAAGCTCCTGGGGAGCCAGGTGGACAGCCTCTTCTGAGCTGCCATATTGCAGCTGGCCTGGCCCCTGTGCTGTTCAAGTAATTGGGGCTTCAGAAATGGGAATGGGATCGATTCCTATCCTCTTGGCTCTCACTATGTGAGTGCATTTTGGTAAAGGGATTTCAGTCCTCTTTGAAGAGCGCATCAATTTCTGTTTATAACTCACACAAACTGAGCTGCCTTCTGCCAGAGGACAGGGTGGGCATATTGTAGTTTTGTCTTTCTCTGGGGCCCAGTGGAATAGAATTTTTAGCTACTTAAATGATTTTTCTGGTTTTATTTTGTCCCTCTGGCATATGTTTTGGGTTAATCAGCTTCTTTTAAAAGAAGCACAAAAGGAGATGAAAAAAAGGATGGCGTATTCCTTTCTATAACCCTTGTCGCCAAGGGCCTCAAGATATTTTATACACATGAATTGTTTTATTTCCACTTTATTCCTTAGCAGTAGCAGAAGAATAAGTGTTATTTTTGCTTATTTTCATAACTCGTGTTAAGGTACCACATCTAGAATTTCCCTTTTTTTACATTTGAGGATATGGTAGGAAAAGAACAAACACTCCTGTTCCATAGTCAGGAAGGACAGAATACCCATAAAGGTCCTGAATTAAAAATATTTCAGTTTGCTTCCATATTCTTTTATTTGGAATTGTTCCCATGCTATCAGAATGAAGGTTAAACAAGGCTTCTTTACCATACCAGAAACCAAGTTTTGTGTATATTTTTACTGACACAAAAAAACTACATTTAATTGAATTGCTTCAGTTTCTTGATAAATTTTAGTGAAAAGCAAAGGGCATTTTTTCTCTTGCTCTCAACAGTGTCTTCAATGTAGTTTCTGTGTAACACAAGAGCTGAAAATCTGGGATATTCTTTTTTGTTTGTTTTTTTGAGATGGGGTCTCGATCTGTCACCAGGCTGGAGTGCAGCGGTGCAATCTCAGTTCACTGCAATTTCTGCCTCCCGGGTTCAAGCAATTCTCCTGCCTCAGCTTCCTGAGTAGCTGGGACTGCAGGCACGTGCCACCACACCTGGCTAATTTTTGTATTTTTAGTAGAAACGGGGTTTCACCATGTTGGCTAGGATGGTCTCTATCTCTTGACCTCATGATCTGCCCGCCTCGGCCTCCCAAAGTGTTGGGATTACAGGCATGAGCCACTGTGCCTGGTCAAAAATCTGGGATGTTCTTAGAGGGAGGGCAAGTCAGAATTTTCAAAGAAGTCTAAACAAATTTCTTATGTTTTATTTGTTGTGGAATGGAATGAAATGAGGAGATGGAGGGGAGGGGAAAATAGGAGGGTAACCGCTTAGAAAGCATTCCTCTTCAGCCTTTGTGAAGGTCCCTCTGCCCAGAGCTAGTGGAAATAGGTGAAAGCAAGAAATACATAGAGATGGGGCCACAGGGACTAATTTTGCCATAAGGCTGCTCTCCGTGAAGGCCAGAAGTGAAAACAGAGGCTTCCGATGAAGACACGGAAGAGACTTGTGCATGTCTGAAGAAAACTAATCTGGTAAACACAGCAAGGTAGCAATGATCGTGGCCAAGGGCATTGGGCGTAGGGCTTAAAGTTCTCATCGCAGACAGTGAGGGTTGCCCAGAGCAAAGCACAGTCCATCCTTGGGGGCCAAGGCAATCAACAGTTCTCAGTTAGGAAAGCAACTCAGAAACAGAGGCAAAAGCCAAGGGCAAATCTCTTTACAGGGACTGAGTAGGCATGGTGATAGGTCAGTATTCAGTCCCCAGCCTACCCCAAGGGTTTAGCCAGACAATATAGAAGCCTTGTTATAGGTCAAAAAGACTAGTCTGAATCCCACATTATGGTGAAGACAGAGGTCCCAATAACCATCTGCTCTGATTGGGCTTGGTACACCAAATAGATTAATGCTTCTACCTCGAGAACTTCAGTACCTGCAACTGAGCGAGACAGATGGCAAAGGCCTCTCAGGCTGATAGGTTGCAGGGATTGTGTAGAAAGGTGACATCCAGGCTACTGCTTCTCTCCCTTCAATGTCTGAAACTGGGGAAAGGGAACAGATTTAACTCTTGAGGAATCTTCCCAGGAACTCACTGCATAAGTGCCTTCTCAGGGCATTAGGCTTACCACTCATGGAGGGATGGCTGGCCAGAGATGGAGAGTGGAAAAACGCAAGACCACTCACTTTCAAATACGCGAATTGAGAGTTTTGTTATATTGTTCTTCATCACTCGTCCATCAAATGTTTTAAAATGTCGTGTTTGGAAAACTTTTAGAACCACACTGATTAGAGTTTGAGATATCACACATCACTTTCTAATGGGTCCATCTGCAAGTTGCTTAACCTCCTTTAACTTTAGAAGAAATTGAACCTCATCTCTATATTTGGATAACATCCTCCTTTAGGACTTCTTATACTGATTATAGAGGAGTGTAAAATCTCAGCATGGTGACCGACACATATCTGGCATTCAAATAAATAATAGACGTTAAAATCATTACTTACTAGAAGGGCATTAGATACAAAACAAAGCCACATATTAGATTGTATGTTTTTGGGTTGATTTACAGGCGCTCTTTCATTGTAACTGAAATATTTTGGAAAGAACATTATAATACATGCTGCTGAGGTGAGATGGCCAAAAACGTCCTTCAGCATAAAGGGTCCCACTGTGGGCAGTCTCATGAGCAGTTGGTTATTGATACATTCTATTGAGTTTAATGTGAAATTTTTCTCCCCAAAGTGGCCATTGGAGGGGTCCAAGACTGATCTGTAAGTAAAGGCTGCTTTTCTAAGGCCATGTTGAAACTTTGGCCCATGATGACCCAATTTAAGTGAAAGTCTGAGTCTCTCGCTTTGGGAAAGGAAACAGAGCATAAAATCCCTTTCAGGTGGTTTTAGGAATAAATTCTGCATGTGCCTAATGTGGTTAACCTCAGCTAGGACTGGATGTTGCTGATGACTCAGATGAAGCACTTACTAAGGAGAGAGTATGGCTATCAATAAAAAGACTAGGAAATGTGGTCTTGCAAATTGGCCTCTTGGAAGGTAGCTGAACGTGTCACCAATATCATTTCCCTCAAAGAGATGTTAACTCCATTTAGGAACTTGGGCTGAATGCCATCTGCACAATATTGTGCACAAGCTGGAACCTCCAGGGCTTTAGTTAGCCTCAGTTGGTTTAATTGGACACATTGCTGTTTTGGGTTTCCATCATATTCTCAAATATATCTCCTCTAGGCTTCAGCCTTGCCTTCATTTTCCTGTGACAATGGTATAAATAATGCAAATGTCTTGATACTGGGAAGCAGGAATGAGACCCAGATGTCAGAATGGAAAGCACAGCAGTTTACATTGGCAAAGCAGAGCGGTAAACACAATCAGGAATAGGTGAGCCCTGGGGAAAAGGGGAACGGCTAAGGGAGAGGTGTTTGAGAGGGAGAGGGTAACCTCTTGAACAAGGGGGACCTATTAACTTGCAGAGGAACTAGAATGGGACCAAGGAGGAAGGAGATGAGGAAGGCATGTGAGAAGCATGGCAATCTGGTCCTCATCAGCTTCTTTGCGGAGCAAGAAATCATGGAACTCATGTTTGCATGAACTAAATTAACCTTGCAATTTAGCTCAGACAAGAATGCATTGGAAAAGGTCCTAGGAAGATGCATAATCCAATCCATACCTTCCTGATGAAGAAACTGAGGCACAGAGAGGGGAATTGGTTTAGTCAAAGGCCCAAAGTTCAAAACTAAACACTCCAGCTCAAAGGAAACTAGATGAAACTACACAAAGTCTTCAATTCTGCATTTCTTCCTATGTTCCTTGCCTTTGCGGAAAGGCACAATCATTGCCTGTTTACTTAATCTGGAAATCAAGGAGTTATTCCTAACCTCTTCCTTTCTTAGCCTCTAAATCCATTGTCTCTAACTCCTGTAGATTTTACTTCTTTACTCTCACAAAACTTCTTTTCTTTATATACTTATATCTGGTGCCTTAAGCTAGGCCCTTCTCATCTCACTTGCCTAGTCTCAGTCCCTCCCATCTTAACACTTCTGTTCTTCGTTCTAATGATCTGATCATCTTGCTCCTTCTTGCTTAGTTTAAAGGCTCCTTCACCACCTTCAAGAAAATGTCTCAACATTCTAGAATGATGTACAAGTGCATTAACGATCTGACCACTGCCCACTTCTATAGATACCTAATTTATTCTCCTTTCACTCTACCCTCTTATTCCAAATTATTGTTAATACCTCAAATCTACAGATCCTTCTTGCTGTTTTGTCATTTGCTTGGATAGCTCTCACTCAGTAAGGTTCATCTTATGTATAACCTCCCTTGAGAATCCCAGAAGCACCACATAGCACACTTCCAAGGTGCTGCTCCCTTGGAGTGCAATGTGAATGCTGCCCCCTGGAAGTGTGCAACTGTTCTTATTGGGTTCCCAGAGAACGCTGCTTATCTCTACTTCAGCTCTTCTCTTATGGTAATACAATGACCTCTTGGCTTGTGGTATAATATCAACAAATCAGCTTCTGGATGGGGTAATATAGAAATGAAAAGTGTTTTAAAACATTGTCTCTGGGTTAGGGCAAACTGGGGCTCCAATATTTATTCACACAATAACAATACAAACTTGGGCAAGTTACTTATTTTATCTGGAATTTAGTGTTCTCGGCCACAAAATGAGCATAATAATAGCACCTACTTCACCATGGGATAATCTAGATTAAATTTTTAGCATGCTATCTAGAGTCTTCAATAAATTAACTATTGTTGCTATTATTATTGTTACGGAGAGCAGTGCTGTGTTATATTAAAATTTTAACTTCTCCTATTACGTAGCAGTTACCCAGTAAATATTTGTTGAATCAATTGATAAACAACAAGATAGGGCTATTGAGGTGGGGAGCGGTGGCTCACACCTGTAATCCTAGCACTTTGGGAGGACAAGGCAGGCAGATTGCCTGAGCTCAGGAGTTTGAGACCAGCCTGAGCAACATGGCAAAATGCTGTCTCTACTAAAAACACAAAAAGTTAGCTGAGCGTGGTGGCAGGCACCTGCAGTCCTGGCTACTCGGAAGGCTGAGCCACGAGAATTGCTTGAACCTGGGACATGGAGGTTGCAGTGAGCTGAGATTGGGCCATTGCACTCCAGTCTGAGTGAGACTCTGTCTTAAAAAAAAATAGGGCTATTGATTAACCTGTAAATATTGTATTGGGAACAGTTTCTGCTTACCTGTTAAAGAATTGTACTGAAAAGAAGTATAAGTATTAAATCTTATGGTAGAAAAGAAAAAGCTTCCTTAACTTAAATAATTGGATAATTGCCTTGTAATTGCACCCTGCAATTTGAAGAAACACATGTTTCTTAGAATTAACAGGCATTTGTTTTCAGGGATATCGTTTGAGAAACAAGCAGAACAATGTCTCCTTCTCCTTCACTCTGAATCTTCTGTGGCTACTAGAACTCACCATGTTTATTCCTGCAGGTGAATGGCTCTATAATTTGTCGTTTACTTCCTTTTTCAGAGTCTGTAAGGATCAGGGAAGGAAGAAAAGCTATTTTCTCCAGTTGAATTTAGTATTTAAGGAGTGCCTATCACCAAGGAGGCATAGCTTCTGGCTTTATTGAGAAATCTGTTGCTAAGACACAGTTTTAATTTGTTTGCACACTTTTCATAAGAATGGTGAGTGTTTATTCACAGAGAGAAACTAAGATGTAAGAGGTAAAAGTTGGTGGAAAATTAGTGATAGTAGAGGATTAAACCTCAAACAATTATTTTATTTGTTCCTTTAGACTAGAGGCTTTGAAAGTAAGGTCCTGGGGCTGGGGCATGAGCATCACCCGGAAACTTGCCAGAAATGCAAATTCTTGGGCTCAACCCAGACCTACTTGAATCACAGAATTGCCAGGGTGTGGCTCAGCAGTCTGCTTTAACAAGACCTCCAGGTTATTCTGATGCTTATTAATATTTGAGACCCATCCTGGGCAACAGAGGGATATCCTGTCTCTACAAAAGTATTTTAAAAATTAGCCACGTATGGTGTCGCTTGCCTGTAGTCCTAGCTACTTTGGAGGCTGAGGCAGGAAGATAACCTGAGCCCAGGATCTCGAAGGTTGCAGTGAGCCATGATTGCACCACTGCATTCTCAGCCTGGGTGAAAGAGTGAGACTATGTCTCAAAAAAAAAAAAAAAAAAAAAAAAGAGAGAGAGAGAGAGAGACCCACTGCTCTAAAGTCTAGAATAGGACATCATGCAAATCATGCAAGCCTCACGTATTAGTAGCAATAGTAACTGAGGAGACTAGCTTTCCCCTGCTGGAAAATTCTGTAATAACATCACCTGGAACAGATGCCTCTAGAGACTGAGCCAATTTTTTTCAAGACCCACAACAACTACCTCATGTTGCCTCCTGATCTCCTAACTAGAATCAAATATCAGCATGATCCTAGAAGATAAGTACATGCTGTTACCCAAAAAGAAATAGCTTGCACACAAAAGAATTACAAGATTTGATAATATATATCATTAGAAACGTGGGCAACATGTGTGGGAGTATTCTAATAAGGGCAGAAATTCACTAGATTTGGCTGACTTCATTGACATGAGTATACAATCTAGAGGTTCTAAATTTAATGTGTTAGCTTGCGCAGCTGGAAGTGGATCTAACAGCTTAATTGGGTGGTTGAATGAATGTTGTGCTCAACAATAGTCTACATTTAGTAAGGTCAAGATTCCAGAGCTTTGCTGGCATAATGTAGGGGAGAGTATGCAAAGTCTCTAGGAGATAGAAATGTATACTGAGTTTATCCTGTTTATGAGAGGGCTCAGAAGACACTCCCTCCATGAAGCAATGAGAAATACAGTAGTGTCTTCATCCTTGACAAACTCTGTAGTTGTTCTCCTTTGAAGGCCAGGTTTGTAGGGGATGCCACCATTGAGATTTTTTTTTTTTTTTTTTTTTTTTTTTGAGACAGAGTTTTGTTCTTTTTGACCAGGCTGGAGTGCAATGGCACGATCTCGGCTCACTGCAACCTCCACCTCCCAGGTTCAAGCAATTCTCCTGCCTCAGCCTCCTAAGTAGCTGGGATTACAGGCGCATGCCACCATGCCTGGCCAATTTTTTGTATTTTTAGTAGAGACAGGGTTTCACCATGTTGGCCAGGCTGGTCTCGAACTCCTGACCTCAGGTGATCTACCTGGCTCGGCCTCCCAAAGTGCTGGGATTTCCAGGAGTGAGCCACTGCGCCTGGCGAGATGGGGTCTTTGATTTTATGGAGATTATGCAATCCTAGAGTACAGAGGCCAAGTGGTAGCACTTAACCACCAAAGACAGGAGGGATACATCAACCATCGTATCTCGCTTTATCCCAGATAATTCTTCTTGTTCTGATGTCTACTTTATCTGATAATTAATATAGCTACTCTAGCATTCTTTTGTTTTGTATTTGCATACTATATTTTACATCCTTTTACTTTCAACCTATCTGTGTCTTTTTATTTAAAATGAACTTCGTGTAGGCAGAATATATTTGATCTTTCTTATTTATCCAAACTGATACTCTTTACCTTTTAATTAGTGTGTTTTGACCATTTACAATAAGTAAGATTATTGATATGTTTGGGTTGAAATCTACCATTTTGCTGTTTTCTATTTTTTCATGTGTTCTTAGAGCTTCCTATCTTTTCTGCTTTCTCTTTTATTCATTGAGCATTTTTATGATCCCAATTTATCTCCACATTTGAATTATTATTCATGCCCCTTAAAAGTAATTTAGTGTTTGCCCTATTGTTTACAATATCTATCTTTAATTAATTAGAGTCTACCTTGAGATAACATACTGCTTCCTCTCTACTACAAGGACCTTATGACAGTATATAACCGTTTATTTTCTCACATTTTATAATACGATTGTGATACATTTACTTTTACATATGCTATAAACATGCAGTATATTGCTACTATTTTTCTTTAGACTGTCAGTTGTGTTTTAGAGAAATTAAAGTCAAGAAAAAAAGAAAAATATATTCTTTTACTGTCGTGTGTTTCATTTCCATTCTTTTAATGTTTTGATTCAAAGAGACTGTGACTTTTTCAGACCAAAATGATCTTTGGACCCCAAACTTCTACATCAGGAACTGGAGAAGTTAGAGGCTTTGCCTTAAAGTAGGCAATATTGTTCAATGCCCTTTTCATGCATGGCCAAGAAAGATACAGGAAAAATAAGTACCTCACAAGGAAAGAGTAAATATCTGTAGAAAAAATAATACTGGACAACTAATGACAGGGAGCAGAACCAGGGTCTAATCAACCAACTGGCCCTACCCAAAGGATACAGGCATCTCACAATGCCTGGATGAAAGCATTACAGAATTGTTATGAACCAGCAACTGCTATATCCATCTTATTCATCTCCTTTGAAACATGAGTGTTACTGGGGATATTATTTCCTCATTCAACCATTGTAGGTAGATGAACAGAAAACAGGTGGCTTGCCTTTTTCTTCATAGATAAGGAGAAGGCATACACAGGATATAGAAACTATAATGGAATTTTGGGCTGAGACTGATACTGTAATGGAATGGGCTCTTTAAGTGTATTTTCCTTGGAGAATAGGTGAGTGTATTTTGTATGTGGAAGGGAGGGAAACAAATATTTAGACTAGGAGGAGAGATTATTCTAACACTTAGCTTTTGTTGTATAATAAACCACAGCAAAACTTAGTGGCTTAAACAAAAGCTATGCATTATGATTCCTCTGCTCTGACCCAGGTTGGCTAGGACTGGATGGTCTAAGTTAGATTCATTCACATACCTGGTGGTTGGCTTGATATCAGCTAGGTCAATCGGGATGACTTTGCAGAGAGTCTCATCATCCAGCAGCCCAGCCTATGTTTACTCACGTGATGGTTGTTGCAAGGTTCCTGGGAACAGCAAGACAGCAAACCCCTTAATATGCCTCAGCTTGCATCATATTTGCTCAGTCTTATTGACCAAAAGATGCTACATAGCTGTATTAGTCTGTTCTTATGCTGCTAATAAAGACATACGTGAGACTAGGTAATTTGTAAAGGAAAGAGGTTTAATTGGCTCACAGTTCCACATGGCTGGGGAGGCCTCACGATCATGGTGGAGGGCAAATGAGGGGCAAAGTCACATCTTACATGGCAGCAGGCAAGAGAAGGAATACAGGGGAATTCCCCTTTATAAAACCATCAGGTCTCATGACACTTATTCGCTATCAGGAGAACAGCATGGCAAAGACCTACCCCCATGATTTAATTGCTTCCACCTGGACCCACCCTTGACATGTGGAGATTATTACAATTCAAGGTGAGATTTGGGTGGGAACACAGCCAAACCATATCAATGGCTAAGTGCATATTCCAGAGGTGAAGAAATGTACTCTACCTATTGATGAAGATGAAACATAGTCTACTGCAAAGGGTCATGCATACAAGAATAGAAAAAAAGTTGTGGTCTTTTTTAGATTTTATTATTTTTCTCCATTATTAGCATCTCTCCTTATAATAAGATTTTGCATCACTGCCCTTGTCATATGATTTGCAGAACCTCCCTTTAGGAGGAACGTACTTACCTACACCACTGATAAAATTGGTTATGTGACTTTCTTTGACCAGTGGACTTTGAGCAGATATGACGTTTGCCACGCTTCAGTAGAAGCTTTAATGGCCATTACCTGATTCTACCTTTGACAGTTTTTCCCCTCTACCACAAGAGTAGCATGTTTCAAATTAGGGCTTCTTTAGCCTGGATCCTAGAATGAAGAAAACATGCAGAGCAGAGTCATAGCCGATCTCTAGTATGAATGAAAAATAATCCTTTGTTTGATAAGCCATTGTGTTTTGATGGTCATTCTTTTCCACATTGGAGCCTAGAGAAAAATTAGAGTGATTGATTAGCTTCTGTTTTTGTATATTTCACCAATTCCCTTTTGAAGGATCTTTCCTATTGACTTTTATTTTAATTTTTTTTAACCTTCAAGTTCAGGGGTACAAGTACAGATTTGTTGCACAGGTAAACTTGTGTCATGGAGCTTTGTTGTACAGACTGTTTCCTCACCCCGGTATTAAGCCTAGTACCCATTAGTTATTTTTCCTTATCCTCTCCCTTCTCCCACTCTCCACACTCTGAAATGCCCCAGCGTGTGTGTTTTTCTCCTCTGTGTGTCCATGTGTTCTCATCAAATTGTTTAAAATACTCATAGATATCTTAAAATGCCCTTGTTCCTATTTTCTTTTCCAGCTTTGCCCATTCCTCCTACCCAGTCACAAGTAAATTTATCAAAAGAGCTATACATGACTTGCGTTTCTTCGTATTCTATTCACTCCTAAGACCCTTAAAGTCTACATTCTCCTCTGATAACTCCATCGATACAATCAATGCCACTCTTGCCAAAGACACCAGTGATCCGCACATGGCTGGTCTGCTAACTCAACAGCATCCGAGAAAGTTGACATTGTAAACTTTCTTTGAGCCATGGAACATGAGTAGATACGATTTAAGTGGATTTAAGAAACCAATGACCTGACCTGGTTTTATTTTCTCCTTTGTTGGGCTATTGTAGGTTTTCTGTGACTTCCATGGCCACTCCCAAAAGAAGAATGTGTTCCTTTATGGCTGTAGCATCAAGGAAACCTTGTGGCAAGCAGCATGCACTGTGGGCACATCTACTATCCTAGAGGAGGTCAACTACAGGGTAAGCCGCTGTGGGGAATGACATCAGACATGCTGTGTTCATATTCTTCATTCTTACCTTTAAGACCATGCCCCACTCATTTATTTAGTTTTTTTTTTTTTTTGTAAATAAGCATTTTAATTATTCTAACCATAGGATTGTAATACAAGCAGGCTGGAAGCATGTGTAACCTCTCCTAATTTTTGTTGAATAATGACTTACTGACTTGTTGCTTTGCCCCTGTTTTCTATGTGGTTTGATATTGTATAAAAGGCATGAGAACTAGAGACAGAAGACCTCATCTTAATACCTGGCTTTACAATTATTCGATTATTAACTGTGTGATTATGAGGTCATTAACATTACCTCTCTGAACCACCCTTCTGCCATCTGTAAAATGAGGATAGTAAAAATACTGCCTCTGTTACATAGCTTATGGAAGGAACACAATGATACTGAATACAAAAGGACTTCAAATAAATAGGAAGGGATGAATAAACATAAGCCATTAAACCATCTACATCTCTCTGCATGAGAATTCTATAAAAAGCAGATCAGTAATCCACTGACCCTAATTCTATTTTACTTTAGTTTTAGTGGTTAGAGCTCAACTGTTCCTCCATGAAACCACATAGGAAATTAGGGAGGGGTAAAGAAGGGAGTACTTCTTCCCATCAGGATAAAGGCAACAAGCTATTGCATAATGAGAATCAGGAAGAAGCAAAGTTGCCCAAACACTAAATGAAAACTGGTCTTTGTTTAAAATTTCTGTAGAAAAAGTAGAAAATTATGATGGTGTCTGCCTCTACTGTTATTCTGGGTATGCAATTTACTATGTGCAAAATAGCTTCATCCCCAGGGTTAATGATAGTATTAAGAGGTAAAAATCCACCAAGTCACCATTTCACCTGGAAATACATCCCCTCTTCTCTAGCCTTCTTCACTCAGTCCATCAAAAATAGACTGCCGCTGATCAATACAACCACCCCAAGGCTTTTATAGCAGAATCAACAGCTTATCCTCAATAACCTGTTTGCTGTAAGGCTCAACCAGAGTAATGGTGATAAACCATAAGAAGCTTAATAACTTAATCTTATTTAGGAAACTAGTTTAGTAAATTAAAGCATTCATCTGGGCAGCTCCTGTGGACCCAACCCATATAAAATGATCTCTTATATGTGATACATCTTGAATCAAAAAAATCTACCATGGTCCAATCTTAAATATAGAGTCAGCATGTTTTTTACTTCTCTTTTTCCAAGGGAAGGTAATAATATTAATAGATAATTCCCTATACACAGGAAAAGGTATAAGACACAGAACCTTTAAAAAGTCTCCTGTACGAAGCTGACATGAAATGGGGCAGAGGTCAGACATTGTAGGGAATGATAGGATGGGTTCTTATCAACTGTATTTTAATTTTTGTGAATAATTCATACTGTTTAATTAATAAATTCAAAACACATTTTGAGGCCCAGATTAGTGTCAGTTAAGGTAAAAGGCATAACATTATAGAGACAGGTATGCCAGTTTCTGCCTATGAGAATAAGGACAGTGGTATTTAATAGCAATGCTGTTAAAAAGATTAATCCATCTAGACATTAATGCTCACCTATAAGGTTCTTTAACTGTGAGTGGGTCAGTTGTCTGAGCCTCACTTTTCTCCCTTGTGAAATTAGGAAGTTAAATTTTCTACATAGTTTATTACATCAAGTTTGTTGGTGCCCTGGGATTCCTTAAAGGTGATTCATGGGCTACTATGACATATGTGGAGGTAGTGAAGTGAATATGGTTTGGTCACATCCCTGGCTTTCAACCCAAACAGCTTTGCTTTTTGGGGTCCCACATAGTATATAACTCCCTCTATCACTGACACTCTAAATTAGGACATAATGATCTGTAAATAATTATCTTAACACTGGTGATCTGCCTAAAAAGACTTTTGTGTATACAAATGGATCTTGTCAGAATTGAAAGGACCCACTCATTTTACAGATGGGAAAATTGAGACTCAGGGGAGAATGTCTTGGTAAGATAGGTTAATGTTATCATCATGATATCTACCAGCAGTCAAGAGTCTGTTGATGCTTAGAGGCTGATTCCTTCATTACCATCAAAAGTGGAACAATTCTAAACATGTTAAACTTATCTAAGACTTTATTTGGTCATTTACCATTAGTATTGAAGAGACGATTATACACCCTGTTATATTTCACATCCACTCTGCAACATTTATTCAGTTTTATTAATCAACTTTAATGGTACTACTTCTAGTTATGTTGGTATAAAGAGGTCAGTGAATCCTCTCTGCAAAACGCAGTATAAAATAGAAGAAAATTTTGAAAAGCAGCCCTTTTAGGACTCTGTAAATTGACCAAATACAGATGATAAATTGAGAAGCATTTATTCTTGAAAATTGCTGGAACTTCATGTAAGAACAGCAGGGGTCTGTAACCTTCTTGACTGGGGCTGCTCCTGACACCACTCTATGTGGTCATCAAGAAATGCAGTTTTACCAACAGAAGGATAGCCACACACACACACATGCACGCACACACACACACACACACACACACACACACACAGCCAGAAATTTACAAGGGAGACCTTAGAAATGAGAGAGCCACAGAAAAGCTAAGATAGGCTCTCTATAAATACATGGTGTATTAAGCCATTCTTGCATTGCTGAGACTGGATAAATTATAAAGAAAAGAGGTTTAATTGGCTCATGGTTATGCAGGCTGTTCGGGAAGCATAATGTTGGCATCTGCTTCTGGGGAGGCCTCAGAAAGCTTCCAATCGTGGTAGAAGGTGAAGGGGGAGCAGGCACTTCACATGGTGAGAACAGAGCCAGGAAAAGAGTCAGGGGGAGGTGTCACACACTTTTAAACTACTAGATCTCATGAGAATTCACTCATTATTGCAACGACAGCACCAAGAAGATGATGCAAAACCATTCATGGGAAATCCACTCCTGTAATCCAGTCACCTCCTACCAGGCCCCACCTCTAACACTGGGAGTTACATTTCATCATGAGATTTTGGTGGGGACATGTATCTAAACTATATCGTATGGATTATGGAAAAATATATGTCTCTAGAGGAGACCCAAGAGGGCCCAGTGAGAAAGAAAGTCCAAAGAGACTTAAGAACTGCCACAATTTTGAATGTCTTCCCAAATCACATACAAATCAATCAACAGAGAGTGGAAGTCTTATGCACTCAAGATATTTGAGCACTACATTTGCCCAAATTATTGTATAACCACTAGGCCAAGCAGCCACAGATGTCAAGCTAAATAATTTAAATAAGAATGTAGAAACTGTGTAGAGACATCAGTGGCACACATTGCAGAAGAAAAAAGAAAGAAATATTCTGCAGATTAATCCAGGAAAGTAGTTAAAAATTTAAAAACATTTAAAAAATAGAATCCAGAGATGCTAAAAAAAAAGTATAATCTATGATGTCCAGTTTGCAACCAAAAACTACAATTTTGTGAAGAATCAAGAATGTGAAATCCACGCTCAGGAAACAAAGCAGTCAGTAGAAACAAGAGTGGGCCAACATGTTGGATTCATAATTATTTCCAAGCAACTGTTAAAATATGTTCAAATAATTAAAGAAAATTATGTTCAAAAGTTAATGGCAAAATATGATGACCATTACTCAATATATATGGAAATTTGATGGATAATTAGAACAGAAAGAAGGAAGGAAGGAAGGTAGGAAAGAGGACAGGAGAGGAGGGGAGGGGAAGGGTGGGGAGGGGAGTGGAGGGAGGGAGGGAGGGAGGAAGGAAGGAAGGAAGGAAGGAGATAGTGTTGATGAGTATCATAACCAACATGAAAAATTCACTAGGTGGGATTGTCAGCAGATTTGAGATGGCAAGATAGTAGAGAATGAATCAGTAATTTGATGATTAACCCCAAATTATTCAATTCAAAGAACAGAGAAAACAAGATTAAAGAAAAGTAAACAGCTGTAGAGACCTATAGGATAGCATAAAGCATATCAACCAACATGTAATGGGAGGCCCAAAAAGAGAGGAAAATAAATGTCTGAAAAAATATTTGAAGATATAATGAGAGAAGAAGATAGTATAGGAGGAACAAAACATATATGAGACATATAGAATCAAACAACAAAATGGCAAATGTAAATCCAAAAATATCAATGATGTCATTAAATATGAACGAACAAACCCTCATTCCAAAGGCAGAGGTTGTAAGACCAGATTTAAAAAATAGGTTCAAGTATATATTGTCTATAAATGACATGCTTTTGATTCAATAATGCAAACAGCTTAAAAGTTAAAAGATGGGAAAAGATACACCATGCAAATGGTAACCATAATAAAGATGGTTATATTGACATAAGACAAAATATACATTAAAAGGAGAAATATTACTAGAGCTAAGGGTGCAATTCATAATACTGAAACAAATTGTTAATCAGCAAGGTGTAACAATTATAAATGTATGTGAATATATATACTCTGACATACAAGAAGAAAAAGTTGAAAGAAGGCATTTAAAATTTAATAATAATAGCTGAATATTTTAGTAGTCTTCTCTCAGTATGTGATAGAATAACCAAAAAGAAAATTAGTATGGAGAACACCTGACTTAACTTACATATAGCAGTTCTTTTCAAAACAAAAGAATGTATATTCTTTTTGAGTGCACATCAAAATTTCTCCAGCATAGATCTTATAATAGGCTATTAAATAAATATCAATATATCTTAAGGGACTGAAACCATGCACAGAATATTCACCTACTCAAGAGAATTAAATTATAAATTAACTTTCATAAGAAATCTGGGATATCTCTGATTATTTGGAAATTAAACAATTTGTATCAAATTAACTTATGGATCAAAGAGGAAATCCAATGGGTAATTAGAAAATATCTTTAAGTGAATAAAAATTAAAACTCAATATGTGAAAATTTATAGTATGCAGCAAAAATAGTACACAGAAGGAACTTTGTAATTTATAATATTTAGAAATGCAGAAAGATCTAAAATCAAGAATCTAAGCATCCACATTCAGAAACAAGAAAAATAAGTGCAAATAAATCCCAAAGTATAAGAAAGAACAAAATAAAAGCCAAAGTTAGATCAATGAAATAAAAATCATATGAACAATAGAGAATCCATAAAGAACATGCTTTTCATTCAATAATTCATAATTTGATTTCTTAAAACGGTCAACAAAATGATCATTATTTAGCTAGACAAAGAAAAGAAAGAAGATACAAGTTACCAAAATTGGGATTGAAAGAAGGGGCATCACTACAGATCTTACAAAGTAAAAATGAATATCATTAACAACTTTATGCCAACAAGTGAATACATTCTTAGGAGAACACAGACTACCAAAACTGACTCAAGGACACATGGACAATCTGATGAGGTTTATTTTAAGTGGAAAGAAGAATTAGTAATTAAAACTCTTCCCACAAATGGAAGTCTAGGCCCAAATGGCTTTGTTGATACATTCTATCAAACTCTTAAGAACAAAATAGTGCTAATTATAAAAACATCCTTTCAGAAAATAGAGGAGAAACACTTGCCAACTCATTTTATGAGGTCTGTGTTATCCTGATACCAAAGCCAAAATGAGGGCATCACAAGAAAAGACAGCTACAGCCCAATATTTGTTATAAACAGACAATAGTATTATTCAGTGCTGAAAAGGAATGAGCTATCAAGCCATGAAGAGACACGGAAGAACCTTAAATGGATATTACTAAGTTAAAGAAAACAACCTGAAAAGGCTACATACTGTATTTCCAGCTGTATGACATTCTGGAGAAAGCAAAACCATGGAGACTAAAAAGATCGGGGTTGCCAGGAGTTTGGAAGGAAGGAAGGAAAAATAGGTGGAACACAGGGGATTCTTAGGGCAGTAAAACTACTTTGGATAATACTGTAATATTGAGTACACATCATTATACATTTTTTCAAACCCATAAGATGTACAACACCAAAAGTGAAGAGAATCCTCATGTAAACTATAGACTTTGAGTGATGATGTTTCTATGTAGGTTCAGCAGTTACAACAAACCTACCACTCTGGTGAGGGATGTCAATGTTGAGGGAGTCCATGCATGTACAGGAGTGGGGGGCATATGGGAAATCCCTGCATCTTCCTTCTCAGTTTCGCTGTGGACCTAAAACTGCTTTAAATAAAGCCTTTTTATTTTTTTTAAAAAAGAGAGAGATAGAACCTATGGAAGAAAAAAATGGTTTCACTTAAGTAAAAAAGGAAAAGTCACTTAAACAATGTAAGAGTAAACTTTTGCGACATGGTATGCCAATGTTAAGTTAAAGCTATTTGCCAGTATTATTGATCACTTTAGTTGCAGGATATGGAAACAATATATTTATGTCTATTTGACCAGCCCCCCAGGGGTCTGGACTAGCAGATTCTATTTATTTTAGCAAATAATTATGTAGTAACCTCTATGAGCAACATACTGCTCGATGTGTAGGGATTTTCCTGTGAATAAGACACAGACCTGCCCTCATGGAACTTCTAGGCTTCTGGGGAGATAGAAAACAAACAACTAATACATACACAATAATTCAGTTGTAATTGTAATGAGCACTTTGAAGGAACAAATAGATGGAGGGATTATAGGAAGGGAGGGACAAGAGTGGATAAGATGAAATCAGTTAGGAGGCAATTGTAGACACTCAAGTGAAGATAACATTAGCATTCTATTTCCCTTTTTTAGATGATTGTAAGTCTGGAGGCTATGTAGGAATTTAGAGATCATAGTGAATTATATTAATTATGCTAATATATTTATATAATATGTAATTTATAAGATGATTAATAATTATAATTAACAGTTACATTTAACATGAGGACAGTAAGTACCAGAGAGAGTAAGAGATTTGCTCAATGTTCTAGAAATTAACAAAACTGCATCTCTTTAAAAACAATTCTTTCATTTGTATTCTCATTAACTTGTTATGCTTCTCTACTTTCTCCCTGTAATTTGTCTAAAAGCCTAAGGCTTCACTATTGTCTAATGTATGTAATTTTATACTATGTGTTATTTATGCATATTCTGCCAACACTAAAATGAGAGAATCCTTCTTGTTAATGTCATAAAAGTTCTGGGACTAATCGCAGTATTTCTGCTGACTCAGAACTGTGTATACTATCAACTCTGAGTCATTGTCCTCTGGGGAGGAGGTCTAGTGGCTGGAAGATCCCTTTCTGTCAATCAGGGTGTCAAGTGTCTAGAGATGCCTTCTAAATGGAGATTAAGTAGTCATAAATAAAATATTTTTACCCCAAGAAAAGGTGGAACATATGAACCCAGAGAGGATGGATTTTCAGGAGTTTCATATTGATCAAGCCTCAGATTTTTGGCTTAGAAGATGAGACGAAAAAGATCATTCTGGCAATTATATACTCTTAGGAAAGAAGTGAACTATATGTGCTTCTTCTCTAGAATCATCACTGGCCCCTTTGGCCTTGTGAAATAAGTGAACAGTCCCTAGTCTGACCCTGCTAAGTAACAGTGAGGCTGGATGTAGTCTGTAAATTTCAAGTCCCTTTGAAATCTGAGGATTTCCGTAGTCTCAACTCTTTCATGTATGAGGCCAAATGTATGTGTGCAGCCTTGGTCCATAGCAATACAGGAATTGAAAGATTATGGAGTTGGCCAGGTTGGCATTTGGATTCCTTTCTAGCAACTTTATGGTTTTCTGGACTTCAGCTATTTATTTCTAACTTTTTTTTTTTTGATATGCTGTCTCACTCTGTCTCCCAGGCTGGAGTGCAGTGGCGCAATCTCAGCACACTGCAACCTCCATCATCTGGGTTCAAGAGATTCTCCTACCTCAGCCTCCTGAGTAGCTGGGATTACAGGTGCCTGCCACCACATCCAGCTAATTTTTGTATTTTTAGTAAGACGGGGTTTCACCATGACGGCTAGGCTGGTTTTGAACTCCCGCCCTCAGGTGATCCACCTGCCTCAACCTCCCAAAGTGCTGAGATTACAGGCATGAGCCACCGCTCCTGGCCTATTTCTACCTTTTCTAAGCCTGTTTCCTCATCTGCAAAATGATTTTTAAAAAGTGATAGCCATTTCTTAGGGTTAATAAATGATTTAAAGTAACGAGTATTTTATATATAGATGCTTAACAATGTTGAGAAGCTATTTTTATGATGACTATCCCTAGTCACCCACAACTAATCATCGTTTGATTTTTGTTTTTACTGTAGACTCTTCCCAAAATCCTTGATAAGCTAGCACCAGCATTCACAATGAGCAGCTGCAGCTTTCTCGTGGAGAAATCTCGAGCTTCCACGGCCCGGGTGGTGGTGTGGAGAGAGATGGGGGTGTCCAGAAGCTACACCATGGAAAGCAGCTACTGTGGCTGCAACCAGGGCCCTTATCAGGTATGTGAGGCTGCAGGACACCCATACTTTCTGTCCAGCAACAATACATAGAAATTATAGACAGCTCGTACCTGCTTTCTCACCTAAAAGGGGAAGAAGGCTCCAAGTAGAGTTTGGTCCTCCCTTGCCTTGAAAAACGGGTTCAACAATTGCTTTCACCTGCAGGATCATCTATCTTGATCCTGGAAGCAATGCGTGCATGCTTTCCAATTTGGTTCCTCAATCAGCTGCCCTCACTAGCAAGCAGCTGGGAGCCTCTCTTTGACATGCATCCCCAACTTTTACAGAACCTCTGCTTGCCTGGCTCTGTTGTTATATGCATAAAATTCTTGCCTTCTGCAACAAGTGGACTAGTTCTATGTACATCATAAAGGGCATAGGTCAGTGTGTAGATATTGTTGGTACATATATCTATTGTGTTTCCATCTTCTGCGTCAATCTAAATCTGTAGTTCTCTTTGTTATCCTGCTGTCTCCAGAGCACACAAAAGTGTGTGCATGGCGTGGGTCTCCCAGAATGAGTGGGTTTTGGACTCATATGCTAGTGTTGAGAGAAAGTGCTCTTGTATAAATCACATTCTTTCTACAGCTATATTAACTGCATGAGCAGCTGGATAGCTGCTACAGCAGGCTGTTCTGGCTGCTTTTCCCACTCCCCCATAGAGAAGCATAAATAAAGGACATTTTGACAGTGCCAGGGTAATAGACTCTTGTAAATTTCTTAGGCAAGCTGACAGACTGCTCCTCGGTGACTTCCATTCAACCCTAAGAATACCTGGACCTCCCCAGCATTAAGCTCATTGTGTTGGCTTTGATAGTCTCCTGGAACAGCTAGGAAGCACTTGGCATCTATGCAATCCTGAGCTTGTAGAAATCTGTTAGTTACCAAAGAGAGTACAGGGTGTGACAGGCAATGCACATTATCTAACTTCTCATGTAGTCGAAGATTTTTTTTAACTCAGAGCTACCGAACCACCCTTTTGACTATTAATTCTGTCAAATAGCCACTTAGTCTAAAGACTTGTTTCAAATAATTGTTTTGTTACTGAATTAATAAATTCTTAGACTGAATTAATCCTATTCACCCACATTAATGTAAAAGAAGAATAAGAAGAGCTGAAATCATTGGATGAGTCTGAGATTGGGCATCAAGAGATCTCACTCTTTCACTTACCAGCAGTGTTGAAAGCTACTTACTTCTAGGAACCTATTTTTTTTCATATGTCAAATGCAGATTTTAATAAGGACTCCTTTTATCCTACCGTACAAGGTTTTGTAGGGACTAAAAGAAAACATATATGTGAATATACTTGGAGGTTATATAATCAGAAATCTGTTCACTCCCTTGTCATTCAAAACGTATAAGATTGGAAAAAAAAAGCTTTAAATATTGTGACTTTAAGGCCTTATGGACATAGGTTTGTGTCTCTCTCTGTACATGTGTCTTGATGGGAAGGGGCTTGTCATTTGTTTAAAAGACAACTCCATGTAACTCTTCAAAGATTTATTAGCTTGTGACTGTCATTGAGTTTGTTTCTCCAAGCACCAATTCAAACAAACAGCTTCTAGTCACGTAAGTATCAGTGCCATTCACAATAAATCAGCTGGAAACTCAAAGTTCTCTGGAGCTGTTTGAAAATGAAATGACTCATAGGTTCAGGCCCTCACCAACTCTCTACTGTGCAGTGTACACAGAGGCTGTTGGAGAGGACAAAGAATGAAAGGGCTCACCCAGTGGATGGCCTTCAGGTATTGGAGCAGCATTTATCTTGTGAAATTTTCCAAATGGCTTTTGCATTGGGTCACTAGAAGGAATAATGGAGGGAGAACTGGCTAGAGAAAGCCCTAACAGTGCCAGACCTGGTTTTGGTTTAAGAATCCCATTCTCTATATGAAAAACACTTCTCCGAATGTATTAGTTTCCTCCTTCTCTTTGTTTTCCTGTCCTTACAAACATTGTTGAGTAACTGAGCAGAATCACAGGCAGTGATACTCACAGAGGATGGTGAGTAATTTTACATATGGGGGGGCCCACCCCATGGGAAGGAAGCCAGCCTGGAGTTGGGTGTTTTGGTGATTTTTGCGTAAGGTACATAATGCAGTCTATGAGCTACAAAGCAGTATAGAAATTTCCATCCTGAACATATTGCAAATGCTTTTTGTACATTGGGAAGCTGAGTCCCAGTTGAGTCTTGAGATTATTATTCTAAGGTCATCTTTCCATTTTTTGTTTAGCATTACCATTTATCCAAAAGATGGAGGATACTTAAATACACCCGTGAGAGGCATTCTTTCCTTCCTTCATAAGAATGTAAATATTTTTGCAGTTTCTCTGGTTAATGCAGCTTTAAAGTAGTTCCAATCATTTCTCCCCCAGCACACTAAGTACCTGATTTGTAAGTATTGAAATGAAATATCATTCTTTACAGTGACATTTATATTGGAACTGCATTAAAGAACATAAGCTATTACCTTAAAATAATGATTATTAATACGATATTTCCTCTTCTATTTTCCAGTCTATAGTTGGCTAATTAGAAAAAGAATTATCCTGCTCTTGTTTCTTTGGGATACAGTCTCTGTTGCTAGGTCATACACTTAGATCTATAACTTGTATTTAATGTGGAAATCCCACCCACTGAGAGATTTACTTTACCTATTAGGGATGGGCCCAAAGCTATTGAGGCTGTTGAGGAAAAAGCCAAAATGAAATGATGCATCCTTTGGGGGCTCATTTTTTTAGAGGCATCCCGTCCATGTGGACAGCTGTGGGCTTCACACTGAGTGTTTGTGACCTGAGGTCACACACGTGGTGTGTTTGCATACACAAAGGCATGTGGCTGGGCCCCAGGGGTTGCTGGTAGCTTAGGAGGAGGATGTGAGTCCCTTTACCCAAGCAGGCTGTCAGCTTGCTCCTTGCAACACTGCTAACTTGGACAGCAAAGTGGATCTTAAAGAAGGACAGAAGATGGTAACTCAGCTGAGGTTTGAAGAGTGACTCAACTTGTGTTTAAATTCTCTACCTGCGAGCTGCATCCTTGTATTGTGGGACCTTCCTGCAGTGCATCCTTTCTACCACCCACAAGGGCTCCTTTAATAACACAAATCTATTCAAGTCACAGTAATGCCCATAAGTGTCTTCATTGTGTCTCGATAAAATCCACCTCATCATCGTGGTGAGTAAGGCCTTTTACAATCTCTTCTTTCTTTTTTTTATACTCAATGCTTAGTATAGTATAAAGTAGGTATTAAAAATGTATGATGGCTGACAAGTGAGTAAGTAAGTGAACAAGTAAATAAATGGCAATTTCCAAGCCCTCAAATGATGATCCTCACTGTCCTTGGGTAAGTAGAAAAAGAGAAGAAATTATTGTGGTCCAAATGTGATCAGATGCCATTCTGAAATGGAGATATTAAGAGTCGTTGCAATGGGTAGAGCTGGAAAATGTGTGGGTGAAAGAAGGAAAGACACAAGAATGCAGGGCTGAGATCTCTTAGACCTGCCACTAGATATGGTTTGAGAGACAATAATCCACCCAATGGATTATTTCCCAGAGTAAGGCAATTCTAGTTCAGGTATGGAATCTCTTATGGACACATTCTAATAACAGATGATAATTAGGCAGAAAGACTTCCATCCATATACGTAGTAGATGCTGCGGTCCACCCTCGAGATCCCTCCTTAGGACCCAGGCACTCAATTTCCCCTGGTTGTTCACAGCTGTGTCTATAACCAGGAATTGCTTGTAACTAAAGGACCCCATCTTGCCCCAAAGCTATGGCTCCTCCCTACCTGCAGCCTACATCCAATAGCTGATCTGTGGGAAAACAAAAGCCTTATCTCTGCTTCAGTTGGGATGACTCCAAAGGGCCATTCCAGCTCTAGATATCCCTATAGGATTAGCTGGCACCTCTGTTGTAATTCCCTTGTGGTTCAACCTCCCCCTCTGCCCAACTTTGTTTCCCTAGTAACTCACAGGTATTGTTACAGCAAGCACTCCCCAGAAGTCCTTCTGTATGCAAATCTCAGCATCTCAGAGGCTGTTTCCTGCTGTAAACAACTTATAACAGTATTTCAAAAAGGCTTAGATTATAAAACATGCATGCTGGAACTAAGCACTTAAATTGTTGGAGATGGTTTAGTGGGGATGAGTTTCATATAGGAAATTCAATCATCGGAACTCCGTGTTCAGGGCTCCCAGTGGCCCTTTATTCACTCCACTTGCCTTAGCTGTTTAGGGAACAAAGCCCTCTACTACAAAACTAGAGACCGCAGATCAGAGCAGGGTTTCTTGCAGTAGCCCAGACTGTAGGCTGACTGTATTTATTTTCTGTGGCTGCTGTAACAGAATACCACAACTTGGATGGCTTAAAACAACATAAATCTGTTCTCTCACAGATCTGGAAGATAAAAGCCTGAAATCAAGGTGTTGGCAGTGTTATGTTCTCTCTAAAGGCAACTGTTTCGTGCCTTTCTTTGAGCTTCTTGTATTGCCAGAAATCCTTGGTGTTTTTTGGTTTGTCAACGCATCACTACAATTTCTTCCTTTCTTGTCACATGGCCTTCTCTACCTGTGAACCTCTATCTCTGTGTCTCCCCTCTTCTTCTTATAAGGACACCAGACATACTGGAATAAGAGCCCACCTTACTCCAGGATGACCTCATCTTAACTTAATTAATTATATCTGTAGTGAACCTATTTCCAAATAAGCTCATATTCTGACATTCTGATAAGGAGATAAATTTGGGCATTGGGCAAGATACTATTCAAGCTAATAAACTGGGTCACACAAGAAAACACAAAATTATCTCCAAGAATTAGGGAAGGTTTTTATTTCTGTCTCCATATTGCCATGTGGTAAAGCCCTAAATATGTTATAACAGTTCTTATTTTCTCTCCACCTCATGATGAGGAAAATGAAAAGTTTCAGATTTTCTTGGAACATCTTGGAAGACAAATTTGAGACTCATGGCATGTATGAGTGCTGATTAAGGCTGCTCCAGTATTATAATACACAATGTTAAGGTAGCAATAATGATAACAAACACATCTATCATACTTATTGTGTGCTAAGCCCTTTACATATCTTAAATTACTTCATGTCTGCTATTGTACAACAAAGCACTACAAAATCAGTTTCATTATTATTCTCATTATTCCTATTTTACAAATGAGACCACTGAGACAGAGAAGTTAAGTAACTTGCTCAAGGTCCCACAGCTAGAAGTTTTCTGAGCCAGGATTTGAAGCCAGACAGATATGTTGCTGGGATCTTTGCTTTTACCTCGTGCTTTCTGTCTAGTAGAATGTGGTTGGTAAAAGGGGACCTGGGCTTTGGAAGCAGGAGACCCACCTTCTGCACTTGGCTGTAATTAAGCAGATCTGCAGCAACAGGTGAGCCACTTAACCTCTCTGGGTCACAATTTTCTTATTTATAATAGGAAGACAGAATTGGAACTAAAAGATAGGTGTGGTTTCTGCTACATTATGTTGACCAAGTTTTTTGCTGGGTATCCAAGGGACTTATGGATCACCCAGACCAGGGTGACCCAGTGTAATGTGAAGCCCTTAAAAATTTTATGCAATTTTTCTTTTTTTTCTTGTACTTTTTTTTTTATATACTTTAAGTTCTAGGGTACATGTGCACAACAGGCAGGTTTGTTACATATGTATACATGTGCCATGTTGGTGTGCTACACCCATTAACTCGTCATTTACAATAGGGATATCTCCTAATGCTATCCCTCCCCCCTCCCCACCCCCGCAACAGTCCCCGGTGTGTGATGTTCCCCTTCCTGTGTCCAAGTGTTCTCATTGTTCAATTCCCATCTATGAGTGAGAACTTGTGGTGTTTGGTTTTTTGTCCCTGCAACAGTTGGCTGAGAATGATGGTTTCCAGCTTCATCCATGTCCCTACAAAGGACATGAACTCATCCTTTTTTATAGCTGCATAGTATTCCTTGGTGTATATGTGCCACATTTTCTTAATCCAGTCTATCATTGATGGACATTTGGGTTGGTTCTAACTCTTTGCTATTGTGAATAGTGCCACAATAAACACACATGTGCATCTGTCTTTATAGCAGCAGGATTTATAATCCTTTGGTTATATACCCAGTAATGGGATGGCTGAGTCAAATGGCATTTCTAGTTCTAGATCCTTGAGGAATCGCCACACTGTCTTCCACAATGGTTGAACCAGTTTACAGTCCCACCAACAGTGTAAAACAGTTCCTATTTCTCCACATCCTCTCCAGCACCTGTTGTTTCCTGACTTTTTAATGATCGCCATTCTAACTGGTGTGAGATGGTATGTCATTGTGGTTTTGATTTGCATTTCTCTGATGGCCAGTGATGATGAGCATTTTTTCATGTGTCTGTTGGCGGCATAAATGTCTTCTTTTGAGAAGTGTCTGTTCATATCATTTGCCCACTTTTTGATGTGGTTGTTTTTTTCTTGTAAATTTGTTTGAGTTCTTTGTAGATTCTGAATATTAGCCCTTTGTCAGATGAGTAGATTGCAAACATTTTTTCCCATTCTGTAGGTTGCCTGTTCACTCTGATGGTAGTTTCTTTTGCTGTGCAGAAGCTCTTTAGTTTAATTAGATCCCATTTGTCAATTTTGGCTTTTGTTGCCATTGCTTTTGGTGTTTTAGACAGGAAGTCCTTGCCCACGCCTATGTCCTGAATGGTATTGCCTAGGTCCTGAATGGTATCACCTAGGTTTTCTTCTAGGGTTTTTATGGCTTTAGGTCTAACATTTAAGTCTTTAATCCATCTTGAATGAATTTTTATATAAGGTGTAAGGAAGGGATCCAGTTTCAGCTTTCTACGTCTGGCTAGCCAGTTTTCCCAGCACCATTTATTAAATAGGGAATCTTTTCCCCATTGCTTTTGTTGGGTTTGTCAAAGATCAGATGGTTGTAGATGAGTGGTGTTATTTCGGAGGCCTCTGTGCTGTTCCATTGGTCTATATATCTTTTTTGGTACCAGTACCATGCTGTTTTTGTTACTGTAGCCTTGTAGTATAGTTTGAAGTCAGGTAGTGTGATGCCTCCAGCTTCGTTCTTTTGGCTTAGGATTGTCTTGGCAATGCGGGCTCTTTTTTGGTGCTATATGAACTTTAAAGTAGTGTTTTCCAATTCTGTGAAGAAAGTCATTGGTAGCTTGATGGGGATGACATTGAATCTATAAGTTACCTTGGGCAATATGGCCATTTTCATGACATTGATTCTTCCTATCCATGAGCATGGAATGTTCTTCCATTTGTTTGTATCCTCTTTTATTTCATTGAGCAGTGGTTTGTAGTTCTCCTTGAAGAGGTCCTTCACATCCCTTGTAAATTGGATTCCTAGGTATTTTATTCTCTTTGAAGCAATTGTGAATGGGAGTTCACTCATGATTTGGCTCTCTGTTTGTCTGTTATTGGTGTATAAGAATGCTTGTGATTTTTGCACATTGATTTTGTATCCTGAGACTTTGCTGAAGTTGCTTATCAGGTTAAGGAGATTTTGGGCTGAAACGATGGGGTTTTCTAAATATACAATTATGTCATCTGCAAACAGGGACAATTTGACTTCCTTTTTTCCTAATGGAATACCCTTTATTTCTTTCTCCTGCCTGATTGCCCTGGTCAGAACTTCCAACACTATGTTGAATAGGAGGCATCCCTGTCTTGTGCCAGTTTTCAAAGGGAATGCTTCCAGTTTTCACCCATTCAGTATGATATTGGCTGTGGGTTTGTCATAAATAGCTCTTATTATTTTGAGATATGTCCCATCAATACCTAATTTCTTGAGAGTTTTTAGCATGAAGGGCTGTTGAATTTTGCCAAAGGCCTTTTCTGCATCTATTGAGATAATCCTGTGGTTTTTGTCTTTGCTTCTGTTTATATGCTGGATTATGTTTATTGATTTGCATATGTTGGACCAGCCATGCATCCCAGGGATGAAGCCCACTTGATCATGGTGGATAAGCTTTTTGATGTGCTGCTGGATTTGCTTTGCCAGTATTTTATTGAGGATTTTTGCATCAATGTTCATCAGGGATATTGGTCTAAAATTCTCTTTTTTTGTTGTGTCTGTGCCAGGCTTTGGTAGCAGGATGATGCTGGCCTCATAAAATGAGTTAGGGAGGATTCCCTCTTTTTCTATTGATTGGAATAGTTTCAGAAGGAATGGTACCAGCTCCTCCTTGTACCTCTGGTAGAATTTGGCTGTGAATCCGTCTGGTCCTGGACTTTTTTTGGTGGATAGGCTATTAATTATTGCCTCAATTTCAGAGCCTGTTATTGGTCTATTCAGGGAATCAACTTCTTCCTGGTTTAGTCTTGGGAGGGTGCATGTGTCCAGGAGTTTATCCATGTCTTCTAGATTTTCTAGTTTATTTGTGTAGAGTTGTTTGTAGTATTCTCTGATGGTAGTTTGTATTTCTGTGGGATCGGTGGTGATATCCCCTTTATCATTTTTTATTGCGTTTATTTGATTCTTCTCTCTTTTTTTCTTTATTAGTCTTGCTAGCAGTCTATCAATTTTGTTGATCTTTTCCAAAAACCAGCTCCTGGATTCACTGATTTTTTGAAGGGTTTTTTGTGTCTCTATCTCCTTCAGTTCTACTCTGATCTTAGTTATTTCTTGCCTTCTGCTAGCTTTTGAATGTGTTTGCTCTTGCTTCTCTAGTTCTTTCAATTGTGATGTTAGGGTGTCAGTTTTAGATCTTTCCTGCTTTCTCTTGTGGGCATTGAGTGCTATAAATTTCCCTCTACACACTGCTTTAAATGTGTCCCAGAGATTCTGGTATGTTGTGTGTTTGTTCTCATTGGTTTCAAAGAACATCTTTATTTCTGCCTTCATTTCGTTATGTACCCAGTAGTCATTCAGGAGCAGCTTGTTCAGTTTCCATGTAGTTGAGCGGTTTTGAGTGAGTTTTTAATCCTGAGTTCTTGTTTGATTGCACTGTGGTCTGAGAGACAGTTTGTTATAATTTCTGTTCTTTTACATTTGCTGAGAAGTGCTTTACTTCCAACTATGGACTAAGTACGATGTGGTGCTGAGAAGAATGTATATTCTGTTGATTTGGGGTGGATGGTTATGTGGATGTCTGTTAGGTCCATTTGGTGCAGAACTGAGTTCAATTCCTGGATATCCTTTTTAACTTTCTGTCTTGTTGGTCTGTCTAATGTTGACAGTGGGGTGTTAAAGTCTCCCATAATTATTATGTGGGAGTCTAAGTCTCTTTGTAGGTCTCTAAGGACTTGCTTTATGAATCTGGGTGCTCCTGTATTGGGTGCATATATATTTAGGATAGTTAGCTCTTCTTGTTGAATTGATCCCTTTACCATTATGTAATAGCCTTCTTTGTCTCTTTTGATCTTTGTTGGTTTAAAGTCTGTTTTATCAGAGACTAGGGTTGCAACCCCTGCCTTTTTTGTTTTCCATTTGCTTGGTAGATCTTCCTCCATCCCTTTATTTTGAGCCTATTTGTGTTTCTGAACGTGAGATGGGTCTCCTGAATACAGCACACGGATGGGTCTTGACTCTTTATCCAATTTGCCAGTCTGTGTCTTTTAATTGGAGAATTTAGCCCATTTATATTTAAGGTTAATATTGTTAGGTGTGAATTTGATCCTGTCATTATAATGTTAACTGGTTATTTTGCTCATTAGATGATGCAGTTTCTTCCTAGCATCGATGGTCTTTACAATTTGGCACGTTTTTGCAGTGGCTGGTACTGGTTGTTCCTTTCCATGTTTAGTGCTTCCTTCAGGAGCTCTTGTAGGGCAGGCCTGGAGGTGACACAATCTCTCAGCATTTGCTTGTCTGTAAAGGATTTTATTTCTCCTTCATTTATGAAGCTTAGTTTGGCTGGATATGAAATTCTGGGTTGAAAATTCTTTTCTTTAAGAATGTTGAATGTTGGCCCCCACTCTCTTCTGGCTTGTAGAGTTTCTGCCGAGAGATCTGCTGTTAGTCTGATGGGCTTCCCTTTGTGGGTAACCCGACCTTTCTCTCTGGCTGCCCTTAACATTTTTTCCTTCATTTCAACTTTGGTGAATCTGACAATTATGTGTCTTCGAGTTGCTCTTCTCAAGGAATATCTTTGTGGCGTTCTCTGTATTTCATGAATTTGAATGTTGGCCTGCCTTGCTAGGTTGGGGAAGTTCTCCTGGATAATATCTTGCAGAGTGTTTTCCAACTTGGTTCCATTCACCCCATCACTTTCAGGTACACCAATCAGATGTAGATTTGGTCTTTTCACATAGTCCCATATTTCTTGGAGGCTTTGTTTGTTTGTTTTCACTCTTTTTTCTCTAAACTTCTCTTCTCCCTTCATTTCATTCATTTGATCTTCAGTCACTGATACCTTTTCTTCCAGTTGATCGAATTGCCTACTGGAGCTTGTGCATCTGTCACATAGATCTCGTGCCATGGTTTTCAGCTCCATCAGGTCCTTTAAGGACTTCTCTACACTAGTTATTCTAGTTAGCCATTTGTTTAATCTGTTTTCGAGGTTTTTAGCTTCTTTGCGATGGGTTTGAATTTCCTCCTTTAGCTCGGAGAAGTTTGATCGTCTGAAGCCTTCTTCTCTCAAATCGTCAAAGTCATTCTCTGTCCAGCTTTGTTCCATTGCTGGCGAGGAGCTGCGTTCCTTTGGAGGGGGAGAGGCACTCTGATTTTTAGAATTTTCAGCTTTCCTGCTCTGTTTTTTCCCCATCTTTGTGGTTTTAACTACCTTTGGTCTTTGATGATGGTGACGTACAGATGGGGTTTTGGTGTGGATATCCTTTCTGTTTGTTAGTTTTCCTTCTAACAGTCAGGACCCTCAGCTGCAGGTCTGTTGCGGTTTGCTGGACGTCCACTCCAGACCCTGTTTGCCTGGGTATCAGCAGCAGGGGCTGCAGAGCAGCGAATATTGCTGAACAGCAAATGTTGCTGCCTGATCGTTCCTCTGGAAGCTTTGTCTCAGAGGGGTACCCAGCCATGTGACGTGTCAGTCTGCCCCTACTGGGGGGTGCCTCCCAGTTAGGCTACTCAGGGGTCAAGGACCCACTTGAGGAGGAAGTCTGTCCGTTCTCTGATCTCAAACTCCATGCTAGGAGAACCACTACTGTCTTCAATGCTGTCAGACAGGGACATTTAATTCTGCAGAGATTTCTGCTGCCTTTTGTTTGGCTATGCCCTGCCTCCAGAGGTGGAGTCTACAGAGGCAGGCAGGCCTCCTTGAGCTGCCTTGGGCTCCACCCAGTTTGAGCTTCCTGGCAGCTTTGTTTACCTACTCAAGCCTCAGCAATGGTGGGTGCCCCTCCCCCAGCCTCGCTGCTGCCTTGCAGTTCGATCTCAGACTGCTGTGCTAGCAATGAGCGAGGCTCCATGGGCGTGGGACCCTCTGAGCCAGGCGCGGGATATAATCTCCTAGCGTGCCATTTGCTAAGACATTGGAAAAGCGCAGTATTAGTGTGGGAGTGACCCAATTTTCCAGGTGCCATCTGTCACAGCTTCCCTTGCCTAGGAAAGGAAATTCCCTGAGCCCTTGCACTTCCCAGGTGAGGTGATGCCTCGCCCTGCTTTGGCTCACCTCGTTGGGCTGCACTCACTGTCCTGCACCCACTGTCCTACAAGCCCCAGTGAGATGAACCCGGTACCTCAGTTGGAAATGCATACATCACCCGTCTTCTGCATCAGTCACACTGGGAGCTGTAGACTGGAGCTGTTCCTGTTTGGCCATCTTGGAACCCTAATTTTTCTTGAGTATGCACATTTTTCTAGGGAGAAAGTGCTCTGCTTTTAGAACCAATTAGGTAGTTTTCAAGTGACTTTGGCTGTTCTATCCACTATTTCCCCCTCTCCTTTTCATTTTATTCTTGCTGGTCTTTATTTCACCTTTCTAGAGTATACAAAGAGGGCTGAGAGGAATGTAATACATTAAGTGGCAGCTCTCCATCAGCAGGGTGAATAAGGAGCAGAGTAGATCTTCAGTGAAACAGCCAATTTTTTTTATAGCAGGGAACCTCCTAGGTTGCTTCCTTTTCTCATTTCACTTCCTCTTGACTTCTCTCCTTGTCTCATCAGAGAACCATGGCTCTCACACAGTTCTTTGGACTTGCGCAGCCCAGATGGGACACTTCTCCTCCCTAAAAGTGTCCTGAGCTGCAGAATTGCCTCTGTATCAGGATACAGACACACACACACACAGATTCTTTCTCTCCAACACACAAGTATATGTATATATCACACATATATACACAAACATGTATCCATATCAATGGTTTTTAATAATAGATGTATACAGGAAAGCAGAGTTTATTGTTTAATATGGGCTCCTGTGTCAGATGTAGAGTTCCAGGGAGAGCTCTACATTTCACAGTTGTGACCTTGAGACAGTTCCTGACTTTTATGAGCTTTAGTGGTAGACATGGTGCTCCTCATAGTTCCTACTTCATGGAGATGCTATAAAGACTGAATGAGCTACTGCCTACAAAACATTTATCACCATTTTCATAGTAAAAACTCAATACATGTTTACTGTTTGTATTTTTATTGATTAACAGGATCATTAATGGTGGTTTTCTTTTTCTATTTTAGATAAAGACACTTAGGCTCCAACTCTTAACCATAATCATTTTATTCCAACCTTCCTAATTAGAAACTTTGGGGTCTAAGATTAAGACTCTAAGCTTTTATGAAGTGTAATATACAGCCAGGGTTGAGAACCACAGATTTTGGCTTTCATAGACACTAATATCCATATACCTGTATTTATAGGCTTAGCTACATCAAAGTAATGTCTATATGTATCATTTAGACATTTCTTTTATTATCCACTCATTTATTCTATCTGTCAAAATTCCTGTGCTGCCTAATCTATGTTTTAGTTAATTTGTATGTGAAGTCCCAGAGAAGGGAAGGGGAAGAAGACAATTTGTGAGCCTTCTTCTAGGAGAAGAGAAAGAAAGGCATGAAGAGTTGAGGCAGGGAAGGAAACAGATTTAAATTTCTCCAAGATTGCTGAATTTAAAAGGCTATTCTAATTATGAGCACAACTCAAAAATATTTTAGATCACTATTCTCAGAATCATTTTTACAGATAACCTTTAGAGGAATATAATTTTGATCTTTTTTTTGATCTTTGAATGGGGGAGGAGGTGTCTTTCTTTCATTAATGTAATCTGAGGAGAGATTGAGGACCACCTCAAACCTTAGTGTGCATGAGAATCACTTGTGGAGTTTAGAAATTGCAAATGTTTAAATTGCAAGAAAGTCTGAACTCTGTGTCCAGAGGTATCTTGATCTGGGGCATGGTCCAGGAATCTACCTTTTTTTCAAGTGTCCCCGGACATTCAGAGCCCAGCTGCCCAGAGACCAGTTACTGAGAGACTGAGGCAGGATAGTCAGACCAGATGTAAAAGGTGAGATGGTTTTGAGACAAGTTTTTGTTTTTCTTCTCTTGCTTCTGATCTTCTTTGGGATAGAAAATTCCCCATGGCTTTTGTCATGAAGTCTCAAATTCTCCTTATGCTCCCACTTTTACTTTTTTTTTCTTCATCCATGCTTTTAGGTAATTAGCTTAATTCTACTACAAGAAACTGTCTAATATCCCATTGAGAGTTTAAAGATGTCTTTGTTTCTTTGTTTTCTCTAGCTCCTGGGACACTCCCAGGTCAGGGTATTTTAAATCAGTATCTTTGAACAGTCTTCGTATGTGGACTTTCAAGAGTTTAAGAACAGATATATATAAAATTATTTGTTGGCTCTGTGTAAGTTTTCTGGGGAGAATACCTGTATTTCTAAAGGTATTCTTAAAAGGATGAGCAATGCCCCCAAGAAGATTAAGAGATCATGCCTTAACTTATTGATTCCAGGATCTCTAGAGGGCCCTTCACAGTCTCCTAGTTTTTGCTCTTAAATCAGCTCAGAAGTGCTTGGCTTGACTTTGTGAAAATCAAATGGAGGCTGTAAATCCCTGACTATTTCTGCCTACTTATCAATTAGCACAAGAAGAATGAAGCATCTCATTAAATGTGTATTGGATTAAGCAGTCTAAATCTTCTGTGACTGCATGGGATGCTAATCTTCTTAGGATGCTCTGTCTCACAAGTGGTGGTATAGACCCTGGAGCAGAGCATCAGCAGCATCTGGGATTTGTTAGAAATGCAGACTCCCAGGCCCCACCTACTGAATCTGCATTTTAACCAGATCTCCAGGTGATCCATTTTTCCCATAAATTTGAGAAACATGGATTTTGAACACCCTTGGTCAAAGAGGTGAGGTAGATTGGAAAGAGTGAAGGGTCAAGCATAGGAAGTTGGGGAGCTCCAACTTTTCTGTTAAGGCAAGGACATTGTTCCCAGAAATTTTTTTAATGACAATGAGATGCTGTATGTATGATAAATATGATTTAAAAGTTGAAAATAAATAATTCCTAGTATGAGATACTTTGTTGATCTATGCCAACATTTTAATGTTACATAAACTGTTTTTTTTTTTCACTCCCATATTCTCTAATACCTTTCCCTTCTCAAAGTCTTGGAAAAGAGGACAATTTTCCAAATGCCTGTTTTGCCATTGGAATGCCATTTTATTTCTTTGAAAATACAAATATGAAATCCAGATGCTGCTGGGCGCAATGGCTCATGCCTGTTATCCCAACAATTTGGGAGGCTGAGGTGGGAGAATAGCCTGAGTCCAGAAGTTTGAGACCAGCCTGGGCAATATAGGCAGACCCATCTCTACAAAAAAAATTAAAATCAGCCGACCATGGTGGCACGTGCTTGTGGTTCCAGCTACTTGGTAGGCTGAGGTTACGGTGAACTGAGATCATGTCACTGCACTCCCAGGCAACAGAGCAAGACCTGTCTCAAAGAAAAAGAAAACAAGGAAAAAAAAAAAAAGAGAGAAATCCGGATGCTAATCTATCATTTTAGTAGAAATACTATTTGGGCCATTTATGTTGACACTCTGTCATTCCTTATTAACTGCAATTCAAGTGATGCCTTGCTGTTGTCTCTTTTGTTTTGTTTTTAGAAAAACTTCTTCGGATATGATCTCAAAGCACACTATGAGCAGTTTATTAACTCACTGCAGTCTTAATTATGTAGTAAAATATTGTCCTCATTCTGTTACCCTCAGTTCTATAATGTCTGTCAGCATCATGATAGAATATTAAAAGGAATTAAATAAAAATCAAGAGGCAGAGATGCTAATAAGGTTGCCAGCAGGGATCTTTCCTGGGATTAGAAAAGCCCTGGGAACCATGAAATTTAAACGCCCATCGTAGAAAATTGTTCCTTCTATGAAAAATAAGGAGGAGATCTGGCACTTGGGATAATCCTATGAGCCTCAAAAGACCTATGATCTTTTAAAAATAATTTGACTTCAAATGACAAAGAAGAAGAAAAGATGGTTTATCTCTGTAAATCTTACTCTCCCATGTGACTGTTGTAAATGCATAAGCCAGATACTCTTAAGGAACAGACAAACAAAATCAAAGAAAGCATTGACTTAATCCAGAGTTTTATTTATCTTGTCGTGTAGGGAAAAAGGATTGACTCAACCTGGGATGCTTGGAGTAGCATTTCCATACAAATGTTCTGAGAAGGGCAGAGTCCAGGATATGAAGAGTTGTCATGGGGTATTCTCTCTGCATAAAATGGGGTGCACCCCAAACCATAATATCCCCTTTGACTATTGATACCAGTGGGCTGGGGGAGGTCCCCAAACACTGGTAGGACCTTGAACCCAGCTATTGTCCAGGCTCTTGACACCATCGTGAGAAGGAATTCAAGGATGAGTCAGAAAATAGGGGAAGTACAGAGATTTATTGCAAAGTGAAAGGTACACCCTCAAGAAAGGGGAGGACAGGCACACTCAAGAGAGAGTCATGTGCAAAGACATTTACAGCTGCTACCTTTATGGGTTTTTCTTTAATCAAGGGGTAGAATATTCATAAAGATTCCTGGAAAAAGTGGGAATTTCTCAGAATTATGATGCCACCCATTTTTACACCAAATATGGGTGTTCCCCGAACTGTCATGGTGTCCATGAGTGTTAATATGTTAATGAGCATATAATGACATTCTAGGAGAAACCTAGGTCAAATCCAGCACCATGTTGGATCTAGTCGGTCTTAGCGAGCTTGGTCCACAAACTATTTTTCAGGGTCTTTTTCAGCCCCAGCTTGTGCAGCTATTTCAGGTTTCCTTTTGCTATTCATGTTTTTATGGGATCTTTGGGGTGTCGCTTTTCTGGCTGGAAACCTCTGTGGCTGGAGGCATCTTTGCCCAAGTTTTGCTTGGGCCCTCTGGGCTTGTTCCGCTCACTCGACCTGGCAGGCTGGACTTGGCTCATGCTACTGGCCTGGATCCCATGCCTGCCAAGGGAGAGTCAAGCATGGAGCAGTGAGGGGTGTGTGAGCAGCATGCGGGCTGGCCTGTGAGCAGTTTGTGGTCTGGCCGTTGCACAGTCAGACACGCTGGCTGATGCTATAGGGTGGGCAGCTCCAGGTGCTGGCATGGACACGGGCTCTTGGCCGAGCTGTGGCTGGACCGGCTACACCACAAGCAGCTTCCCTGGCTGGCACTGGGGAATATGGTGGCACCCTGAAGTTTGGAGATGCCAGGAACTGCTGGGGGCCCCAAAGATGGAGTCACATCCCTGGCCCAGGGAGCTCCCAGGTCTGAGATCCCTGAAGGGCCACAGCTCTTCTCTTCTGCTCTTCACTCCCAACATGGCAAGCAAGGGGCATGTTTCAACCCTGTTTGTGTTACAGATCTTTCAGCCTCACCATTCAGCAGGTCCCGAGTTCTTGTTTTGCATCCAGGAAGAATGAGGTTCACAGACAAGTGGAGGATGAGCAAGATGAAGAGGAGCGTTATTGAGCAATGGAATAGCTCAGAGGGCCCACAGTAGGCAGCTCCTCTCCATAGTCAGGGTGTCCCAACAAGTGTGCAGCTCTTAGTAGAGAGGGTACTTGCTCTCTGCAGCTGGTTGTCCCATTGTTTCTTCAGCTCACAGCAAAGAGGGTGGTTCCTCTCTGCTAGGCAGGTCATCCTGATGAGTGTCCAGCTCTCAGCAGAGAAGGTAATTCTTCTCTGCAGCTGGTCATCCCTTCATCTCCCCCTTGTTTCCTATCCTCTCTGTCCTCTGCTCAAGTCAAGGGATGGGGTGTTTATTGGCCTCAGAGGGGAGGAAGCGGGTGCTGATTGATCCATGAGCAGCCATGGGTGGGCCCAGGCAAAAGCACCACAAGCTCCCCCTCTGGTCTGGGGGTCTCGTGGCCCAGCCCCCAGGCTTCAGGCCCTCCCTGGCTTAAAGGTGGGGCTTCACTAGGGACCTGCCTCCTTCGCCCAGGAAACTGCCTCCTGCCGCTGTTCTCCACACCCAGGCTGTTCATGCTAAGGGAAGCCTGAAGGCCAGCATCAGCTGTCCTCAGCACCCCCTTAGCCTCCCTCCCATGCTTGTTGGTGCACAAAGTCCTGAGGGGGCCAAGCCGGCAGGCGTCTGGCATGTCAGCTCTACCCCGACTGTGTGCATATCTGGCCAGGCTGTGACATTGCCCAGGCTCAGCCCTGACTTTACTCTGAGATTGGAGTGGGCGTTGACAGCGGGGAGAAGGCAGGCAGTGGGAGCAGGCACTTCCGGGCCCGCAGGGGGAAGTGCCGGCTCCCTTCCTGGGCCCCCAAGAACAGAGATGCCCGGGTCCTGAGCCATGGCAGGGAGGCTGCAGCTGCACCTGTGGAGCTCCCGCTCTGCCAAATCAGAAGGGGCGAGGCTCTCACTTGTCCCTGGTTCCCGCTGGCTCCATGGAGTGTGCAGCCCAGACCACACCTCCTTGCAGTCTGGGGTGGGGGCTCCAGGTCCTCGCTGGGTCCCCCTCTGAGAGTTCCTCTGTACCATACCGTGCTGCTCTCCTGACGGCTGGCAGCTCAGCCCGGCCCCATCGTGGCAGTTGCCGGGGTGGCAGGCTCCAGGAGGCTCCCAGAGGCAGGCTCTGGAGACTGTCCGCCTCCTGCCTGCACCGTTCCCGCAGTGGTGGTTGGTGAGAGCAGCAACATGGGGACAGGGGCCAGAGCTGCGGAGGCTCTGGGCCTAGGAGTGGGTCCTGCCCAGTCACGCAATGTTGGGGGCGGTGCAGTCGGCTGCCTCAGGGTACAGGGCACAGGAGTCCGACCATCGCCACAGCTGCTCCCGCAGCTTCTCCAGCTGCCACCGCCTGCGCTTCGCTGCTTCAGCCAGCATGATGGCAGTGGCTGCTCTGGACGGCCCGCCCCTGCCATCAGTGTGGCACTGCTGCCTGGAATTTTCTATTCTCCTGTGACTGCCCTGTATTATTTCTGTCTCACTGTAAGAGGCCAATGACGGTTCAAGTCTTCAACATTCTTCACCATTTCTGCAATCTAATAGAGCAGCCTTAAGAATCATCTCTATTTCTAACAGTAAGCAATAATTCTGTTTATATGCTTGTGTTCCCTAAATGTAAATGAGAACTTTTTAGAATACCTTGAATCCTGTTGTTGGAAGCCAATAATTAGAGGTTTTTATATAAATGTTTGTTTCATCAATTAGTCAACATATATTTACTAGTTATCTACTTTGTTTTAAGCTGAAGTTTGTGACTGGGTTTATGTATATACAACTAAAAGCACATAACCAAGGGCAGATAATAGCCATTTCATCTACATTCTTCATTCATTCTTTCTTGCATTATCCATTCAAGAAACGTTTTTCTTTTTAAATCCTGCAATATGTTAAGTGCCAAGAATATGACAGGGAGTAGAACTGACAACTTCCATGTCTTCTACAGTTTATAGTCCAGCCACAAAGGCAGATAATTAAGTAAGCAATAACAGCAGAGTATGGAAAGAAGTGGGTGCCATAAGAGAACACAGAAGAAGGAGATGATGATTTAGGCTTCCGGAAATGTTGGTTGTGTATGTGTGTGTGTATGAAACTGGAAAAGGTAACATCTGGTAAAATAGAAGATAATTCTTTGAAAGTAGGGCAGGGTCAGGAAGTCCTTGATTTTTCTTTTATCCTAGTTGTCTTTCATCCTACTTCCTCCTCCTTTCGTATTCTAATCTCCCCATAGAACTGCATGCTAGGGTATGCATCCTGCTGGATCTGAGTCCACTGGAGTATGTAAGAACATGATCCTCCTCCTTATTCCAACATGCCCTCTTTAGGAGCATGCTGAAATGTACTGCTGGTATTTCTATGAAGCTTATAATTAACTACACCTCCCCGAAGGCAGACAGAATCGGAAAGATACAAAATGTTTCAAACTCCTCAGACTGATAAAGAGTAGTAAAATTTAAATAGGGCCCATCTTAATTATTTTGTTCCAAATGAAATTCTGGCTATCTACCCCCAAGTATTCCTGAAAACAACAAAAATCACAATAATAAAAATACTTTCCCTTTTCAAAATGATGTATAGTTTACAAAACATTTTCATAAACTTTATTTTCTCAGATAAGCCAGAAAACTACCAGCGACCAAACAAATAAACAAACAAACAAAAAAAAACCATAAAAGTGAGAGACAGGGCAATGGAAAGGAATGCAGAGTGTTGCATTGCTGCAATGGTCAAAGCAGTCAAGGAGGTCCACTCAGCTATGTGGGCTATTGCTGGATAGGCTGTACATAGTTGAAAAGGAAGGCGAGAGCATTTATCTGCATGCTGTGCACCACCCTACCTTCCTGTTTCCTGTTAGTCCAAGTGTGTACCCAGAAGGTTAAACTGACATGTTCAGGTTGCACCATCTGGTCCCTTCTGCAGCCACTCATCCAAGTCCAGAAATGGTGGGAGAAGCCAGAAACTTGAGGTGGAAGGATGGTTGGCTTTGCTCTCTAGTAGCAGCAAAGAAGAAGGTCCTTTTAGGAATTTGACTGGTCAGTCCCAAGGGGTGCAACAAGGGCCCAACAAGAACTGGTGGCACCTAAGGCAAAGTTCACAACTGGGGATCCAGGAGCTGACATATCTGAAGGAATCTAAGGAGATACATAACATATGTTCTATACAATTCTTAAAAGTTTTAATTTTTTTTTTTTTTTTTTTTTTTTGTGATGAGGTTTAGCTCTTGTCACCCAGGCTGGAGTGCGATGGTGTGATCTCGGCTTACTGCAATCTCCACCTCCCAGGTTCAAGCGATTCTTCTGCCTCAGTCTCCTGAGTACCTGGGACTACAGGCAAGCACCACCACTCCTAGCTAATTTTTGTATTTTTAGTAGAGACGGGGTTTCACCATGTTGGCCAGGCTGGTCTCGAACTCCTGACCTCAAGTGACCTACCGTCCTTGGCCTCCCAAAGTGCTGGGATTATAGATGTGAGCCACTGCACCTGGCCCTAATGTTTTTAATTATAAAAGTGATTGCATGGCTGGGCGTGGTGACTCACACCTGTAATCCCAGCACTTTGGGAGGCTGAGGCAGGTGAATCAGAGGGTCAGGAGTTTGAGACCAGCCTAACCAATATGGTGAAACCCCATCTCTACTAAAAATACAAAAATTAGCTGGGCATGGTGGCAGGTGCCTGCAGTCCCAGCTACTTGGGAGGCTGAGGCAGGAGAATCGCTTGAACCTGGGAGGTGGAGGTGACCGTGAGCCAAGATCACACCACTGCACTCCTGCCTGGGTGACAGAGGGAGACTCTGTCTCAAAAGAAAGAAAAAAGTTATTGCACATGGGCTGGGTGTGGTGGTGCATGTCTGTAATTTCAACACTTTGGGAGGCTGAGGCAGGAGGTTCGCTTGAGCCTAGGAAGTCAGGACCAGCCTGGGCAACATAGTGAGACCTTGTCTCTATCAAAAAATCAAAAAATTAGCTAGGTGTGGTTGGACCCACCTGAGGTTTTGGCTACAAGGGAGGCTGAGGCAGGAGGATCACTTGAGCCTGGGAAGTTGAGGCTGCAGTGAGCCATGTTTGTGCCATTGTAGTCCAGTTTGGGTAACAGAGAAAGACCCTGTCTCAAAAAAATAAGTAAATAAATAAATAAAAATTTGAAAATAAAAGCTAAAGCACAAACTAGCCATATTCAAATTTTAAAATTCATGAACTTAAAAAAAAATTATTTTTAGAGACAAGATCTCTCTCTGTCACCCAGGCTGGAGTGTAGTAGTACAAATCATGGCTCACTGCAGTCTTGACTTCCTGGGCTCAAGTGATCCTCCTGCCTCAGCCTTCTAAGCGACTGGGCCTACAGGTACACACCACCACATCTGGCTTATTTATTGAAAAAAAAATTTCTATAGAGACAGGGTCTTGGTATGTTGCCTAGGCTGATCTCAAACTCTTCAGCTCAAGCAGTCCTCCCACCTTGGCCTCTCAAATTGCTTGGATTACGTCTTGAGCCACCATGATGGGCCTTCATGACCTTTGACTCTGAAATCTTCCAGAAATTTAATTCCAGAACTACACAAACATACATATACAAGAAAGTCATTGCTTGTTAGTGATAACAATGTGCAAACAAGCTTAACTCCCATAAGTAGAAAATTAGTGAAATAAACAATTGTCTGAACATTGGATGACTCAGAAGGAAGAAGATAATTAATATTTACATGGACTTTAGCATTTCTGCATGCTAACTCCATCATTTATTGACTGCACTTTGGGTAAATTATTTATGCTTTTAAAATTTTTAGTGTAGTCATCAGAAAGAAAAGGGGGCTAATGATTGTACCTCCTGCAGAGTACATGTATATAAAGCACTTAGAGTGTTGTTAAAAGAAAAACATCAGACAAATTAAATTTAGTAAAATTTAATTGAGAGAAAAACGATTTGGGAATTGGGCAGCCTCCAAACCAGAATGGATTCGGAGAGACTTCAGCACAGGCACTGTCACTGAAAAAAAAATTATGGACAGAAAAAGGAGATGTACAGAAAATGGAAGTGAGGTACAGAAACAGCTGGATTGGTTATAGCTTGGTGTTTGCCTTATTTGAACATGGTTTGAACAGTTGGCTGCCTTTGATTGGCCGAAACCAGCCAAAGTGACTGACACAAGAGTAAGTTACAGTCTCTTTACACATCCAGTTAGGTTACAGTTCACTATATACAAAGAGGTCTTTAGGCTGCACTTGAAATACCTAAGGAGGCAGTGATATAGTTTGGCTGTGTCCTCACCCAAATCTCACCTTGAATTCCCATGTGTTGTGGGAGGGACTTGATAGAAGGTAATTGAATCATAGGGACAGGTTTGTCCCATGCTGTTCTTGTGATAGTGAGTAAGTCTTATGAGATCTGATGGTTATCGTAAGGAGGAGTTTCCTTGCACAAGCCCTCTCTCTTTTTGCCTGCTGCCATCCATGTATGACATGACTTGCTGCTCCTTGCTTTCCACCATGGTTGTAAAGCCTCCTCAGCCATGTGGTAACCGTAAGTCCAATAAACCTCTTTCTTTTGTAAATTGCCCAGTCTTGGATATGTCTTAATCAGCAGCATGAAATTGTACAGTAGATTGGTACCAGGAATAGGATTCTGCTGAAAAGATACCCAAAAATGTGGAAGTGACTTTGGAACTGGGTAACAGGCAGGGGTTGGAACATTTTGGAGGGTTCAGAAGAAGACAGGAAAATGTGGGAAACTATGGAACTTCCTATGGACTTGTTGAATAGGTTTGCCCAAATGCTTATAGTGATATGGACAATGAAGTCCAGGTTAAGGTGGTCTCACATGGAGATGAGGACCTTGTTGTGAACTGGAGCAAAAGTGACTCTTGTTATGTTTTAGCGAAGAGACTGGTGGCATTTTTCCCCTGCCCTAGTGATTTGTGGAACTTTCAACTTGAGAGAGGTAATTTAGGGTATGTGGTGGAAGAAATTTCCAAGCAGCAAAGCATTCAAGAGGTGACTTGGGTGCTGTTAAAGACATTCAGTTTTAAAAGGGAAACAGAGCATAAAAATTTGGAAAATTTTCAGCCTGACAATGTGATAGAAAAGAAAATCTTATTTTCTGAGGTGAAATTCAAGACAGCTGAAGAAATTTGCATAAGTAACAAGGAACCAAATGTTAATCCCCAAGACAATGGGGAAAATGTCTCCAGGGCATGTCAGAGGTTGTCATGGTAGCCTCTCCTGTCATTGGCCTGGAGATCTGAGGGGAAAAAGTGGTTTAATGGACCAGGTGGGCCCAGGGTCCCCGTGCTGTGTGTAGCTATGGACGTGGTGCCCTGTGTCCCAGTCACTCCAGCTGTGGCTGAAAGGGGCCAACATAGAGCTCGGGCCATGGCTTCAGAGGGTGCAAGCCCCAAGCCTTGGCAGCTTCCACGTGGTGTTGAGCCTGTGAGTGCACAGAAGTCAAGAACTGGGGGTTTGGGAACCTCCGCCTAGATTTCAGAAGATGTATGGAAATGCCTGGATGCCCAGGTAGAAGTTTGCTGCAGGGGCAGGGCTCTCATGGAAAACTTCTGCTAGGGTAGTGTGGAAGGGAAATGTTGGGTTGGAACCCCCACACAGAGTCCCTACTGGGGCACTGCCTAGTAAAGCTGTGAGAAGAGGGCCACCGTCCTCCAGACCCCAGAATGGTAGATCCACTGACAGCTTGCACCGTGTGCCTGGAAAAGCCACAGACACTCAACACCAGCCTGTGAAAGCAGCCAGAAGGGAGGCTGTACCCTGCAGAGCCGTAAGTGCAGAGCTGCCCAAGACCATGGAAACGCACCTCTTGCATCAGCATGATGTGGATGTGAGACATGGAGTCAAAGGAGATCATTTTGGAACTTTAAGATTTGACTGCTCTGCTGGATTTCAGACTTGCATGGGGGATGTAGCCCCTTCATTTTGGCCAATTTCTCCCATTTAGAATGGCTATATTTACCCAATGCCTGTATCCCCATTATATCTAGGAGGTAACTAACTTGCTTTTGATTTTACTGGCTCATAGCCAGAAGGGACTTGCCTTGTCTCAGATGAGACTTCGGACTGTGGACTTTTGAGTTAATGCAGAAATGAGTTAAGACTTTGGGGGACTGTTAGGAAGGCATGATTGGTTTTGAAATGTGAGGACATGAGATTTGGGAGGGGCCAAGTGTGGAATGATATGGTTTGGCTGTATCCCCATGCATATCTCATGTTGAATTCCCACATGTTTTGGAAGGGACCCAGTGGGAGGTAATTGAATTGTGGGGGCAGGTTTTCCTGTGCTGTTCTTGTGATAGTGAGTAAGTCTCATGAGATCTGATGGTTATTATAAGGGGGTGTCCCTACACGAGCTCTCTCTTTTTGCCTCTTGCCATCCATGTAAGACGTGACTTGCGGCTCCTTGCCTTTCACCATGACTGTGAAGCCTCCCAGCCATGTGGAACTGTAAGTCCAACAAACCTCTTTCTTTTGAAATTGCTCAGTCTCGGGTATGTCTTTATCAGCAGCATGAAAACGGACTAATACAGGCAGCTTTAGGCTAAACTTAATTTAGCAGTGTCTGACACAAAATACTAGCTAATCCTCATTTTCACCATCATCATAATCCTTTCATCTTGCTTGCATATTGTTATACCCAGCCTAGGGTATAACAAAAGACTTTTGTAAAAGCCTAGATGTGAAAACCTAGATGAAAAATATTTCAGTGGCGTCCTAAATGCTTGACAAGTAGTCAGTAGTGTTCTTCAATTATACTGCTTTGTCTTATATTGATGAAATTTTCAGATGTCAAAAAGCTGGGACAAGCAGTTATTGCATTACGTTGCAAATTTTGTGTCTAAAAAGATCTTAGCAAAATGGAATCCTGGGCAAAATCTCAAAAGAGGAACTTAAAATGGCTAATTGGGAAGTCTTGAATTTGGTTAAAACAAAAAGGCATCACTGAACTGCAAGATTTATAACAAATATTTAGAGATTTTACTTTTAATGTAATATGAATTAAATGTGAATTATGACTGTTAAAAACGTGAATGTGATATTAGATTATGTTAAAATTATCATAGTGACTAAAATGAGGAAGCTGATATTTCTACTTTCTCCACGTAAGTCTCAATGCACTGAGAAAAATGTGTTCCATGCAAAAATGTAACTTGATTTTTGGGCACTTATTGGGGAATTGTAGCAGAAGTAAGCAATGGTCAGAAAAAAAGAGCCTTATGAGCCATCCTAAGGGGATGGAGTTTATTTCAGACACAGTAAGAATCCATTGATAAGATTTAAAAAGAGGAGTAATGGGATCACAGCTGTCTTTTAACATGTGAATGTTGAATGGGACTTGGGGCAGGGAGACCAGTCAGAAGGCTTTTGTGAAGCCCATGGTTGGAGGGAGGGCAGAAAACAAGATAGACACATGAAGAGATATTCAGGAGGTGCAATTGACCGGACTGGATAATTGGTTGGTTGAGGTGGTGAGGGAGGAAGAAGTGGGAAAAGCCTATGATGACTCCCAGGTTTCTGGACTGTATTTGATACTGGGAATGTAAGAAGGAAAACTGTCTTGTGGGATGTTTGGATGATTATATGCATCAGAAAGTGAAGCATAGGCAGGGGAACTACCAATTTCTTTTGATGTTAAGGAAGAAAAGAAGCTGTGTTTGGCTTGATAGATAAAGTCCATGGCCAATTTCTTCTGTGAAATTCTTGAGTATATAATCAGACCATTAATGGAAGAGAATGTGAAATTGCTGAGTTAACCGTAGGAGGGACTTTCTAACATATACTCATTACTGCTTCAACACAGCTGACCTTATCCATGTTGCAGCCTAATTTAAATTATAATGCTTATTCTTCTGTGCACTCCAAAATTCTGACTATAGTTTTCCTTGTTACTACTAACTTGCTATAAATGCAGATTTGTACTTTTAGTATTGAAAGTATACTTTTGGCTGAAAAAAGGGAGTCTGAGTCAACTTAACTATGTATACATATATATATATTTCTAACTATGTTATAGACAAGCCCAGGGTAAAACAAGCAATATGGACCATAAATGTATGAATTTATTTTTATCATTGTTTTTGTTATTTTGGTATTTTTTTCTAGACTTTGTTACATGCATATTTTTCTAGACTAGTACTCAGTCTGTACATACATTTATGGATCATTAATTTTTTTCCTTTTGTTTTTAGTTGACATAATAATTGTACATATTTAACTGAGTACAGAGTGATATTTGGATACATGTATACAATGTATAATGATCAAGTTAGGGTAATTAGGGCATTCATCACCCCAAACATTTATCATTTTTTTGTTGAGAACATTCATAATCCTCTCTTACTGCTTTTAAACATATACAAGAAATTTTTGTTAACTATATTCACCCTATAGTGCTATGGAACACTAGAACTTAGTCCTCCTATCTAGCTATAATTTTGGAACCACTTATTTTTAATTAATATGATAAGAATTTTCCACATTGCTTTGAAGCCTTCATGCTTCTAATATTTGTATTTTGTTCCAACATTACATTAACTACAGTAAAATTTACTTACAACTGTTAGACATTTTGGTTGCATCCAAATTTTTGCTGTATTGTGCAGCCCTAGAAATAAGATCTTCATATGGAAACTTTCCTTCACTCACTCCAATACTTTGAATTAGTAGATGAGAGTTCCAAAAGGGGAGTTACTAAGTCAAAGTGTTGGAGAAAAATTATGGAACTTGATATTATAAAATATTATTCAACAAATTAAAGCCTGGGTGGTCTTGACTCCTTGCTCATGGTCAACGTGAGAAGTTGTATTTCTACTTGGGCTTTTTAGTTCAACAATATATACGACATTTAAGCTTAATGGAGAGGCAAAAGAAAGGAAGGCAAATTAGGAATAAAATGACCACTTTTATCTTAAACGTTTTTCTCAAGATTTGTCATCTCTTGATTTTGATAGGTCCCTTCTTACTTTCCCCTCCTCCCCCATTGGCTAATGACAAGATCTGGTGGCAACATTTCTTATAAGTTTTCTCATTCAGATAAATTATCATAGAAAGGAATTCAAAGGATGGGTTGTTTATTTTGTTTAGTGCTTATGAAATGATATCCTAAAAGAGGCCATTGCAAAAACCATTATGTTGACTTCCAAATTGGATCATCATTTTATCATTCATTTGAAATCTCATTTACCAGTGGCACCCACTGCCAGTTTCCATAACAAATCAATTTGTGTGTCATAACACTCCTCGGGCACTCTTCAGTCACCCATGAATGGGTTGAGTACAGCTGTCATGAGCAACCCCCAAATGTTACCTAGAAATCAAATCTTCCTCTCCCCCAAATCTCTCTGATATAGCTACTTCCTCACTGGCTCAACATAGGTACAAAAATGAGACCATTTGTAGTCTCGGTCAGGAAATATAAAATAAATTACCAAGGAAGGTGGTGAAATGAAACCAGCCAAACCCCTCTCTTCATCAAGGACATGGGAGATGAGTTTACTTTTGATTATGAGGATCTTATGTAATAATTATGGATATATGACAGGCATGAGATCCTAAAAGTATTACTGAAGCAAGGGTGATCTCTCTGGCTTGGAAAGTTTCTCAACCTCAGCACTTTTGACATTTTGGGCTGGATAATTTTTGGTAGTAGAGGCTGACATTGTAGGATATTTAGCTGCATCCCTGGCCTTTACCCACTAGATGCAGGTAACACCCCTGTAGTTATGACAACCAAAAAATATATCTAGACATTGCCAGTTGTCCCCTTGTAGATCAAAATCACCCATTATTGAGAACCATTGCTTAGTTACAAAGGTTTAGTTTCTCAGGTTCACTCTTTGAGTCTTGGTTTCCTTAGCTGAAAAATCAAAAGAAAGACTTGGTTATCTAAGTTACCCTACAACATTAATGGTATTTGAACATGCCAGGGTCAGGGAAATAGATTTACTGGTCTATATAATCTTTAAAGCCCTAGCCTTTGTAATTCCTGAAGTTTAAAAGTTATTTACACTGTTGGTGGGGCTATAAACACAATGGGAGTTCAACCATTGTGGAAGTCGGTGTGGTGATTCCTCAGGGATCTAGAACTAGAAATAGCATTTGACCCAGCCATCCCATTACTGCGTATATACCCAAAGGTTATAAATCATGCTGCTATAAAGACACATGCACACGTATGTTTATTGAGGCACTATTCACAATAGCAAAGACTTGGAACCAAGCCAAATGTCCAACAATGATAGACTGGATTAAGAAAATGTGGCACATATACACCATGGAATACTATGCAGCCATGAAAAAGGATGAGTTCATGTCCTTTGTAGGGACATGGATGAAGCTGGAAACTATCATTCTCAGCAAACTATCGCAAGGACAAAAAACCAAACACCACATGTTCTCACTCATAGGTGGGAATTGAACAATGAGAACACATGGACACAGGAAGGGGAACATCACACACCGGAGACTGTTGTGGGGTTGGGGGAGGGGGGAGGGATAGCATTAGTAGATATACCTAATGCTAAATGACGAGTTAATGGGTGCAGCACACCAACATGGCACATGTATACATAAGTAACAAACCTGCACATTGTGCACACATACCCTAAAACTTAAAGTATAATAACAATAAAAAAAAGTTATAATATTTTTTGAAATTTTTTTTTTAAAAAACACCATGGTATTATTAGTTGGGGAATGTAAATATGATTAGCTATTATTTTATCTAAGAGGAAAAGTATTTTTAGAGATGAGAATTGGAATTTAAAAAAAAAAATTCAACTTTTATGTTAGAGTCAGGGAGTACATGTGCAGGATTGTTACTTGAGTATATTGAGTGATGCTGAAGTTTGGGGTACAATTCCTCCTGCCACCAAGGTACTGGTACCTAAAATTAGCAGGTATATACCTACTTAGCATACTACCTCATATTAAGTTTCTCAACCCTTGCCCCCTCCCTACCCCTCTCTCCAGTGTCTATTATTGCCATATTTTTATCTATATGTACCCAATGTTTAGTTCCCACTTATAAGTGAGAACATGCAATATTTGATTTTCTGTTCCTGTGTTAATTTGCTTAAGATTGTGGCCTCCAGTTGCATCCATGTTGCTACAGAGGACATGATTTCATCTTTTATGGCTGTGTGGTATTCAATGGTGTATATATGTACATTTCCTTTATCCAGTCCACTGCTGATGGGCGCTTAAGTTGATTCCATATCTTTTCTATTGTGAATCGTGCTACAGTGAATGTGCAACTGCATGTGTCTTTTAGACTGATCATTTTAGAAGGATTTATTTTCTTTTGAGTATGTACCCAGTAATGGAATTGCTGGGTCACACAGTAGTTCTGTTCTAAGTTCTTTGAGAAATCTCCAAACTGCTTTCCCTAGTGGCTGAACTAATTTACATTCCCACCAACAGTGTATAAGCATTCCCATTTCTCCACAGCCTCATCAGCATCTGTTGTTTTTGACATTTAAAATTATAGTTATTCTGACTGGTGTGAGAAGGTATTTCATTATGGTTTTGATTTGCATTTCTCTGATTATTAGTGATGTGGAACGTTTTTTCATGTTTCTTGGCCACTTGTATGTCTTCTTTTGAGAAGTGTCTGTTAATGTCTTTTACCCATTTTTAATGGGGTTATTTTTTTGTTGCTTGTTAGATTAAGTTCCTTGTAAATTCTGGATATTAGACCTTTGTTGGATGCATAGTTTGCAAATACTTTTTGCCATTCCCTAGGTTGTCTGTTGACTCTTTTGATAGTTTCTTTTGCTGTGCAGAAGCTCTTCAGTTTAATTAGGTCCCATTTGTCAGTTTTTGTTTTTGTTGCAATTGCTTTTGAGGACTTGGTCATAAATTCTTTCCCAAGGTCAATGTCCAGAATGATGTTTCCTAGATTATATTCTAGTATTCTTTTAGTTTAAGGTGTTACATTTAAATCTTTTAATCCGTCTTGAGTTAATTTTTGCATATGAGGAAAGGTATGGGTCTAGTTTCATTTTTCTGTATGTGGCGATCCAGGTAGCCCAGCACCATTTATTGAAAAGGGAGTACTTTCCCCATTGCTTGTTTTTGTTGACTTTGTTGAAGATCAGATGGATGTATGTGTGTGACTTTATTCTCAGTTTTCTATTCTGTTCCATTGGTATTTATCTGTTTGTACCAGTACCATGCTGTTTTGGTTACTATAAATTTACAGTACAGTATGAAGTCTGATAATGTGATTCCTCTGGCTTTGTTCTTCTTGCTTAGGATTGCTTGGCTATTTGAGCTCTTTCTTGGTTCCATATGAATTTTAGAATAGGTTTTTTTCTAGCTCTGTGAAAAATGATATTGGTAGTTTGATAGAAATAGCATAGAATATGTTGATTTCTTTGGGCAGCAGGGTCATTTTAACAATATTGATTCTTCCAATCCATGAGTATGGAATGTTTTCCCATTTGTTTGTGTCATCTGTGATTTCTTTCAGCAGTGTTTTGTAGTTCTCCTTATAGAGACCTTTGACTTCCTTGATTAGATCTATTCCTAGTTATTTTATTTTATTTGTGTGACTATTGTAAATGGGATTGTGTTCTTGATTTGGCTCTCAGCTTGAATGTTACTGTTGTATAGAAATGCTACTGATTTTTATACATTGACTTTGTATCCTAAAACTTTACTGAAGTTGCTTATCAATTCCAGAAGTTTTGGTGGAGTATTTAGGGTTTTCTAGACATAGAATCATGCTGTCTATGAAGAGAGATAATTTGACTTCTTCTTTTCCTTTTTGGATGCCTTTTATTTCTTTCTCTTGCCTGATTGCTCTGGCTAGTACTTCCTCAGAACTGGAAGTTTTATTTGTGCAAATGCCCCAGAATTTTGAGATTGGAAGCAGGCTGGAGTGTGATGGAGTCAGAAGATAGAATGCTGGCCAAAGATAAGAGTAAAAAAGGAGCGAAGGTAAAATCAGTAGTTTTCAAGTGTGCAAATACATACAGAACTCCTTTTATTGTTTTCTTTTTATGTATTTATTTATTTAGAGACAGGGTCTCACTGTCTCTGCCCAGGCTGGAGTGCAGTGGTGTGATAATAGCTTATTATAAGCTTGAACTCCCGAGTGGCTGGAAATACAGGTGTGTGCCACGATGCCCAGCTATTTTTTACTTCTATTTTTTTATAGAGATATGTTTCACTATGTTTCCCAGGCTGGTCTTGAACTCCTGTTCTCAGGCAATCCTCCTGCCTCAGCCTCCCAAAGCACTGGGATTAAAGGTATGAGCCATCTTACCTGAGTGAGCTATTTGGACACCACTCCTTTTAAACATAAAATAAACAAAGGGTTAGAGAAAAAATGGTTCAAGGAGTCCAGGAACTGTTTTCTGTTGGAAGGCTCTCTCTGTCATCACTTGGTTATTTAAGTTGCACAGACTGGAGACTAGGTGTGAAATCCAGGAATTGCATTCAAAGTAGATTGAAAGGAATAATTAGCAAATTCATAACAATGGTGAGACAAGGAGCTCAGAGTTCTAGACAGACTGTGAGGATGAAGCAGGAAGAAAATGATTAAGAATACCTAGCCATGCTCCACATTCCACTGCTTTCACTATGACAAGGGCTTTGGTGATGTTCAGTGTCTATTTAGACACACAGGCATGCTGCCTGTCGGCATGCCTCTGCACCGAATAGAACCATGAATTCAGATTCAGCTTCACAGGCAAGAACATTCTCATCTGAGAGATAATGCTTTCTAAAACTGAGTCAGAAAGGAGAAGAGGAAGGAATAATAAATCCCCCTCTCTCTTGCTTACTCTCTCATTCTGTCTCTATCTCTTTCTCTCCTAGCCTGTAATTCTAAGTTATCTAGACAAGGTACTAGGGACACCTGAAAACATTCATAACTGAATGATAACAAGTAATGTTATTTAAGTGTTTGCCATTAGTTTACCTGCTTGGAGTGGCTTTTATAATAAATCGTAATATTTATTAGAACTTACTATGTGTTCTTATGTTTGCATGTGTTGTATTTACTATCAATGTAAACCTATGAGGTAGTTGCTATTTTTATCATATACCTTTTAGGATGAGAAAATTAGGGCAGAGAATAGTCGAGTAACATGTCCAAGGTCACACAGAGCGTAATGATGGCAGAAAACCGAAATTCTGTTAAAATATATAAAGTGTTTTATTCGGAGCCAATGTAAGTGACAGCAGCCCAGGAAAACAGTCTCAAGAGGTCCTGAGAAAGTGCACCTAAAGCAGTCGGGTTACAGTTTGGTTTAATACATTTCAGGAAGATAAGAATTGCAGGTAAAATCATAAATAAATTCCTGGGAGGTATACAATAGTTTGGTCTGAAAAGGCAGGCCATCTCGAAGTGGGAGCTTATAAGTCATAGGAAGGTTTAGGAGTTATTTATTTGGCACTTGGTTGAAAGAGTTAAGCTTTGTTTAAAAACTTGGGGTCAATAGAAAGGAATGCTTAAGTTAAGGGGGGGTCTGTTATTTGTCATGTGATGCCATGTTAGAGTCTGGTTGAAAAGTAGGCCACAATATACTGGGTCAAAAAAGACCTGTTTAATGAGCTTTAAGGGTTTGTGAGGCATGACTCCCCAGGCCCCTTAGAAAGGCATATGAGGAAGTAAAAAGGTCAGAGTCCATTCCTCAGTACCTTTAAAGAGTTCGGACTAGAACCCATCAGATTTGCAACTGAGGCTTCTCTCCTTACTGCTAAATTATTCTGCTTCCCTGAGCACACTGCAGTCATGGTCTTAGCTTACTCCCACCATGAGCTTATGAGCAGGCATTGTTTTTATCTTCCTTCTACAGATGAGGAAACTGAGGCACGGACAGGATGAATACTTTATCTAAAATCAGAAATGAAGTGAGGAATCAGGGATTCAAACTAAGTTGGGTTGCTGTCTCTTTTTCCTCTGACCTCTATGCTCCTTGGCCTCCTCTCAGAGTGCTGCAAGGATATGCAGTACTAAGCAATTGTGCAGCAAGGCAGATGGAATCCGAGCTCACCTGTGGCAGCACCGTTTCAGTGTTTGGAGAAAGATGAGATTATATTTGGTTGCTTGGGGGTTGTTAAAAAGGCTTCATGGAGGGGCTTGTGTTGGCTACGGTTTGGGAAAGTGGGTCTAATTCTATAGGAAGCAAGTGGGAGGAGGGCGTTCGTGGAAGAAGGAGCAGTATAAGCAAAGGCATAAAGGCCAAGTGGCACTGGGTTTGCTGCAGGAAATGTTCAGTTGTCATTCAGTTTAGAGCAGTGAGGGTGTGTACCTTTTAGTATATATTTTCTTTAAAAGTACAGCAATTTAGAGAAACTCAGAAGACAGAAAAAATAAGTTTTGATTAAAGTCAGAGTACCCACATGCAACCGCAGAAAGTGACCAAGACAGGGAAGATGCTGCCATGAGAACCCACGTAGTAATCACACAACAGCTGCTGGGCTGTGTTACATCCAGGGGTGAGAACCATTAGGATCAAAATCACAAAGCAAGTATCATATCACAGTAGGAAGCTTCTAGTTCTTCCCCAGGCTCCAACGACTCACTATGAACCCAGACTTGTCTTTTAGACCCCAACCTGTCTCTGAAAAAGTAACTGCTTTGTATATGTATGCATGTACATGGAAAGGATTACTAATAACTAACATATCTGCTGGCACTATTCTTCATTATTCTAAATATAAACTTATGTAAAGGTATAAGTAATGCTTATGTTTAATTGCACAGTTAGAAAATTACCTGTGGGTTTAAGAATAAAGTTCATGAAGAGAATTTTAAAATTCTGCATTATACCTTCGTTAATACAATATTATGATATTTGAAATCAGGATGAGCCTGGGTTGGCTACTCTACACAGTGTGAATAAATGTGAATGTGAATAAAGAAGTTATATTTAGAGAGCCTTGATCACCTACAGGTCTTATCAAAGACCCTCTTACACAGTTGATCTCCTCCAGTTATCACTGACTGAGAGGATTCAGCCAGTAGTAATTCTACTGTCCTAAACAACGAGATATGCCTCCCCACTCCTGCCCCTACCAGAAGAAAACTTGCAGCAGTAACCATTGAGGACTGGCCTGCCTGCTGTGTCCTGCAAGGGAGAAGTAGCTGCAGGGAGTGCTGGGATCTGTGGGATGTGGCTTTTCAACATTTTTCATAAGGCTGAAGCTCATATGCAGATAGAACTCATTTGCCTGAAGTCAGACACCACGGCAACCACAACCTGATCAAATCCAACCCCTGGAGTGTGTGTCAGGGCCTCTGTGATGGAGCACAGCAGGCTCACCTCTGAAGCAGAGTTTGACTCCGGAATCTTCTGTTTGCAGCATGACTAAGCTTTGTTTTTAGTCTCCCTCTTGGGGAAGAATTAAACCTGACCCTATGAGGAGGCAGCAAGAACTGAACAGAAACCCATATTTATTGATAGTGACTCTTCCTCAGAGGAAACTGAAGCAAGTGTCTTTTGAATTGTGTTAAGCCTTTATTATTTCTTTGATGGCAAATACGTGTTATCAATGTTTATTGAGAAGACTGAGAATATGCTGATCATAAAAGATCTAAAGAATATTAAACATTTCCCGTTCATGTATCTTTCACAATTTTTATTTTTTATGTGTATCTTTTCAGAATCTTCATATATATATATATGTATATATACACTGTGTGCATGGACACAGAAGGACAACAATTTTTTTTAAATATGAATAACTTACGATGGTTGATTTGAAGTCTGTTTTTGGGTATCATTTTAGAACAGAATGAAGTACTCATTACTTAGTGCCGGATGAGATGTCAGAGCCCCGGCATCAGAAAGTGATCAACTCACAGGTTGGTAAGAATTTACTGATAACTCTATAGGTTTGAAAAGGAAATTTTTATTATTATAGATAGAAAGTATACTGCAGAAGAGTGCAGTGGGGCATCTCAGCAAGAGAGGGCTGACCACCCCATGAGGAATTTTTGCTTAGGGGTATTTATGGAACTTAAAGTGGGACCTTAAGGGTAATTTGGATCATGTTAGTCACATAGCCCATGATAAATGGTTAAATTTGTAGACATTTTGTGCCTTAATGGCAGCAAGGGTTGCACAATAAGATTCGATATGCATGCATTCTGGAGATGTATAGAAATTCTAATTACTTATAAACTTTGGGTAGAGAAGCCTGGAACCAGATGCCTATTTTAGATAGAAGGGAAGTCCAATTACTTCAAATTCCTCAGATAAAAAGTTTTGCCTCCGGATGGCTTGCTTGATGATCACCAGTTGATCTTTGCTTTCTTCACTTGGATTTGCCAAATGGTTTGCATTTTGCCCCATTTGTTTTATAATTTTCCTCCTTCCCTTCCTTCCTCCTCCTTTCCTCCCTCCCTCCCATCCTATCTATTAGTCTACTTCTTTATCTAATCTATCATTTCTCTATCTGTCCACACATATTTTTTGTAATCATCTGAGAGTAGTTTGGAGACATCATGTCCTTTTAGTGTATATTTCTGTATGCATTTCCTAAAAACAAGGTTTTAGCTATCTTGTATAGCTACAGTAAAATATATTCTCTACATATTCTCTTACATATGTAGGGGCAAAGGGAAAACTTCCTTTTGCCCTCAGAGGGTTTGTTGAACAATTAACTCACAAAAGGCAGACTCATAAGATAAAAGGAATCCAGTTTATTACTGTGTGCACAGGGAGAACCACAGAGTGATTGGCCTCCCCAGTGGGCTGCAAAAGCTTATTTACCATCTTGAGGCTACACACAGAATGGGAGCTCGGACAATGGCCAAAAATAGGTTGTATTGGTAAAACACATTATGGGAGGGAGAGAAGAGGAGACTTGGTTTGTGATATGGTTTATCTGTGTCCCCACCCAATCTCACCTTGAATTATAGTTCCCATAATCTCCATGTGTCATGGAAGACACCCTGTGGGAGGTAATTGAGTCATGGGGGTGGTTACCCTCATGCTGTTTTCATGAGAGTGAGTTCTCACAAGATCTGATGGTTTTATATGGGGGCTTTTCCCCACTTCACTCTTGTTCTTCTCTGTCCTGCCACTATGTGAAGAAGGACCTGTTTGCTTCTGCTTCAGCCATGATTGTAAGTTTCCTGAGGCCTCCTCAGCCATGCTAAACTGTGAGTCAATGAAACTTCTTTTCTTTATAAATTACCCGGTCTCTGGTATGTCTTTATTAGCAGTGTGAGAACAGACTAATACAGTTTGCAAAGGGGGTCTTGTTATGTAGATGAAACCTCACAGGTAGCAACCCTCAGAGACAATAGATAGTAAATGTTTCCTTGAGACCTTTAAAGGTGTCAGACTCTCAGTTAGTCTTTCTTGGATCCAGACAAGGGAGAAGGCCTGGCAGTATAAATGCAGGTTCCCTACAGATGATGTAAATTTCTCCCAGGAAAGACAGCTTTGCAGAGCTACTTTTATTTGCTGGCTCTCTGACAGCCATCTCAAAATATGTCAAAGAAATATATTCTGGTGTAAAACACTTTTATTTTCCTCACACACTACAATGAAATGACCAAATGAGAAAATATACATTGATACAGTATGATTGTCTAATCCAGAGTTTGTGTTCAACTTTTCTCAGTTGTCCCAATAATGTACGTTATAGCTGTGTTTTCCTTGTCCTGAATCCAGTCTGAGATTCCACTTTAAGTTTAGTTCGCTCTCTAGTTTACTTAATCTAGAATACTTACTCATGATTTATCTCTCTTAACCTTGACGCTTAAAGGTGTCCCTCAATTTGTGTGATTGTTTTCTCATTGTTAGATTCATTTTATGCATCTTTGGTAAGTGTACCTCTGAGGAGAAAAAATACAAACTCAGAGCTTTTTCCTATTCTCTTTCCCAACACAACAATCAATGCAATACTTCTGTGATTACATGAGTAAGGGTTTTTCCACACACACCAACCACTGGACACCTGCTGGATGTCCTCTAATTCAATTCAGTTCTGATGCTATCTACCTACAGATAGTGCCAGATGCCACAGATCAAGGGCTCAGTCCCCAGGAATGCCCTTGGCACTTCCAGACACCAGTCACAAGTTCAGGCTTCCGGAACTTCTGACCCACTGGCTTGAAGTTGGGGTTCCCATGATTACCTCTTTAAATTCAGTTAACTTGCTAAATTGGCTCACAGAACTCACAGAAACACTTACTTGTGTTTACCAGTTTATTATAAAAGATATTACAAAGAATATAGATGAAGAGATGCATAGGGTGAAGTATGGAGGAAGTGGCACAGAGCTTCCATCCCCTCTCTAGGTGGGCCACCTTCCAGGAACCTCCAGATGTTCAGCTATCTAGAAGCTCCCCAAATCCTATCCTCTTGGGTTTTTATGGAGGCTTCATTACATTGGCACAATTGATTAAACCATTAGTCACTGTTGATTAGTTTAACCTTTAGCCCCTCTCCTCTCCCTAAAAGTTAGGAGTGGAGTTGAAGATCCCAACCCCCTAATTGTATCTTGGTCTTTCGGGTGACCAGCTGCCATCCTGAAGCTACCTAGGGGCTGCCAGTCACCAGTCAATAATTAACATACAAAACATCACTGTGGAGATTCTAAGGATTTTAGAAGTTATATACCAGGAAATGAGGTCAAGGACCAAATATATATTTTACAATATCACAATACCACAGAAGTAATATAGACCCACCTCAATGCATCATATCAGGAGGTACATAGTGTTGGTCATCCCAATATTGGTGATGTTAAATTTGATCACTTGGTTAAAGTGTTGTCTGCCAGGTTTCTCAACTGTAAAGTTACTGTTTTCTCCCATTGTAATGAGTCATTTTCCTTTGGGGAAATACTCTGGGGCCACGTAAATGTCCTATTTCTTATCAAACTGTTAGCAGCAGCGAATCCAACGGGTCTGCAGCAAACTCGATTCTTGCCTCCTCAGAAAAAAACGAATTCAGCCAAGGGGCATAAGGCAGAGGGAGAGACCAAGGCAAGTTTTAGAGCAGGAGTGAAAGTTTATTTAAAAAGTTTTAGAGCAGGAATGAAATGAAGAAGGCCAAGCAAGAGACTTGAGAGATCCAAGTGTGCTGTTTGGCCCTTAACTTGTTTTGTACATTGGCATGGTTCCAGAGTTTCCATTTCTCTTCCCTTGATTTTTCCCTTGGGGTGCACTGTGCGCATGCACAGTGGCCTGCCAGCACTTGGGAGGGGCCGTGTGTGCAGTGTGTTTACTGAAGTTGTGCCATGCTCATTAGAAGCGTTTTTCCCTTACCAGTTGAGTGTTCTTAGAGGAAGGTCGCATAACAGTTAAACTTTGCCATTTTGTCTCTTAGTAGACATGCTTGAGCCCACTCACCCAGCTTCTGAGATCTTATCAGAATGCTGCTGATCACCAGCTTCACGTGTTTTCTATCTTGGGAAACTGCCTTTCCCTGGT